>NC_000010.11:10767575-10919090 GCF_000001405.40 Homo sapiens
GTTGGTAAACAGACCAATGCTTGGTATGCAGTGGGGTTCATTGCTCAGTCTCACGGGATTATCTCCCAAGGGGCCATATGAATCACTTCATCTTCAGACAACCCAACCGTGGGAAGTAAGCGGTAAAAATATATTTGCTGGCTGGGCACAGTGGCTCACGCCTGTAATCCCAGCACTTTGGGAGGCCGAGGCGGGTGGATCACAAGGTCAGGAGATGGAGACCATCCTGGCTAACACGGTGAAACCCCGTCTCTACTAAAAATACAAAAAATTAGCCGGGCGTGGTGGCGGGCGCCTGTAGTCCCAGCTACTCGGGAGGCTGAGGCAGGAGAATGGCGTGAACCCGGGAGGCGGAGCTTGCAGTGAGCCGAGATCGCGCCACTGCACTCCAGCCTGGGCGACAGAGCGAGACTCCGTCTCAAAAAAAAAAAAAAAAAAAAATTAGCCAGGCGTGGTGACGGGCGCCTGTAGTCCCAGCTGCTCAGGAGGCTGAGGCAGGAGAATGGCGTGAACCCGGGAGGCGGAGCTTGCCATGAGCTGAGACCACGCCACTGCACTCCATCCTGGGCAACAGAGCAAGACTCCGTCTCAAAAAAAAAAAAAAAACCAAAAAACTTGCCAGCCCCTGCATCCAATTGGTGAAACATTTGCCCCATGAGCTGGTAACTCACCTACCTTTCTGAGTTGCATAGACGTGGGTCCTTGAATGTATCTAAATAGCATCTCAGCATCACAAGCAAAGCCCTGCATGGGATTAGTGGTAATGTGGCAGGGACACAGGGCAAAGCGCAACGTGTTCGCAGGTTACAGCCCCATGAGTTTGGTTGGAGCCATGCAGAGTTGGTTTCTAAAGTAGCTACTGGGCAGAAACAAGTATCCCAAGGCCCTGGAAAGAGCTAAGGTCAAGAAGATCTGAAGAAGTTGAATGTATGAAACAGGTTTTACACCTCTGTCACTTTCCTTCTCCAGATCCCACTTTTTCTTTCTTTCTTTTTCTTTTTCTTTTTTTTTTTTTTAAGATGGAGTGTCATTCTGTTGCCCATTCTGGAGTGCAGTGACACGATCTCAGCTCACTGCAACTTCTGCCTGCTGGGTTCAAGCGATTCTCCTGCCTCAGGTTCCCAAGTACCGGGGTGTACAGGTACCCAACACCACCCCTGGCTAATTTTTGTATTTTTTGTAGATACAGGGTTTCACCATGTTGGTAAGGCTGGTGTCAAACTCCTGACCTCAAGTGATCCACCCACCTCGGCCTCCCAAAGTGCTGGGATTACGGGCGTGAGCCACTGCGCCTGACCCTCTTTCTTAATTTTTATTGTTCTACTAGAGTATGTGTCCCTGCTAGTAGCTGTCATTTGCAGTACTGGTAATGCATGCTCCCTCTGTCCTTCCTTCTACCTGCCAAATATATTACCTACTAAAAACAAAATTGTAAAATAAGCAAAGAGAGTTTTTGTCCTCTTCTCATTTCCTATTTGTTTTTCCTCTCTTCATCCTTTTGAGATTGTCTCCCCAAGATATCCTTCAGCTTAGTACAACAGATATTTATTATATGCTTTTTATGAGCTTGGTATTGTGCTACAGAATAAGAATGCAGAGATTAAAGCTGTGGCCCTTTTCCTGATGAACTCAAAGTCTATCAGGCGAGAGAAAATGGAACTGGGCATTTCTCGCATCCAAGTTCTCCTGTCTTAAAGAATGAGTAGAGATTGGTCCATCAATGAATGATGGGAAAGGCCTTCCAAGTAGAGAGAATCACCTGATCAAGGGACAGGGGCTAGAACAGTGAATGGAGAGAACTGCAGTCAGTTCTGGGTTACTTGCATAAAACGTGCTGCAGTGAGAGGTTAGTGACTGGTAGATCACATGGGATTTTTCATATCATAATAAGAAATCAGCTCTGTAGGCCAGGCGTGGTGGCTCATGCCTGTAATCCTAGCACTTTGGGAGGCTGAGGCTGGCAGGTCACCTGAGGTCAGGAGTTCAAGACCAGCCTGGCCAACATGGTGAAACCCCATCTCTACTAAAAAATACAAAAATTAGCTGGGCATGGTGGTGCATGACTGTAGTCCCAGATACTCAGGGGACTGAGGCAGGAGAATCACTTGAACCCAGGAGGCGGAGGTTGCAGTGAGCTGAGATCACACCACTGCACTCCAGCCTGGGCGACAGAGCAAGACTCCAACTCCAAAAAATAATAATAATAATAATAATAATCTCTTTATTCAGTAGGTGATGCTAATTCACTTTAAAATTTTAAGCAGAAAGGATCACTTAGAATTACCTCCTAAATACATGACTCTGGCTAAAAAGTGGAGAATCAGTTTACAGCAGTAGGGAGACTAGACTTAATTGCTGTACCACTGGAGTTGTCCAACCAAAGGATGATGAAGGTCTGAACAAGTTACATGGTGATGGGGGGTTAGAAAGAAATAGCTTAGAGATATTGTAAGTACATGGGGACATAAGTAGGATTTTGTAGTCAATTGGATATATAGATTGATGTGAACAGGGGTTTATTAGAAAACTTGAAGGTTTCTGATGAGAGCTTCTAGATGGATGCGGTGCGATTAGCTGGCATTGAGGATACAAGAAGAGGTATACAGGCTTGGCAGAAAAGATTGCATAATTAGTTTTGGATATGTTAATATTGACATCTCATAGAACATTCAAGTGGACCTGGGAGGCGGAGGTTGCAGTAAGCCGAGGTCGCGCCACTGCACTCCAGCCTGGGCGACAGAGCGAGACTCCATCTCAATCAATCAATCAATCAATCAAACAGCCAGCAAGCAGGAGGGGAGAAGGCTAACTGCAGGACTGACCTAGGCTGAGGTCTGCTGGGGTGGAGGCACTGGGAGAATGAGGTTGCAGGGTATTTGAAGCAGCTGGGGGAGAGGGTTCAGGCCAGCAGAAAATTAGAGCAAACTGAGGAATCATGAGCTAGGAGTATGAGACTGAAGGGAAATTATTAAATAGGAAGGAGGAAACAGAGAGAGCTGGAATCATAGACTGTGGCCAGAAAGTAAAATATGAGGTTCAGATTATTCTTAACTGCACAGAGCCCCCACTGCAATGCCACCCCACCCCCCACTCCTCACCCCAGGCCCCATTTAGTACCAGCCCTAATTCCTCTTTTCTTCTTCATCAAATTGTATTCATTCTATATCTCATGATTTTGAAATCCTGCTAAGTGAATTTGGCTAATCTGTTTAATTCATAAGATGTTAATGGATGATGAATGCTTGATGTGTTATCCATCCCAGAAAATAGACTCCTAATGATAATTACTTAAAACAGTACTTCTTATCTAGGGATGTGTCAGAGTCACCTGTGGTGCTGTTTAAATACTAAGCCCCTCTGGGCTTCACCTTATGAAATCCTGATTCAGAAGCCCTGGAATGAGCACTGGGCGTTCATATTTTTGCAAATTCTTCCATTAAAGAGACAGATCCTTGGGAAAGAGATGAGGGAATAGACGAGTGTTCTTCTAGTTGCTCAAACCAATAACTTCCATATGTAATTGATGTTAGCAATTACTGCTTTTGCCTGTCCCTGAAGCTTTTCTCTTCCCCATCTTCTGATTTTGCATTCATCCCTGACCCAACTTGCAATATCCCTAGGCAGCCAAGGTGACCTTTCCCTCTGGACCCAGTGGGAGACATGACCTAAGCAGAGTCAACTGGAGACTTTCTCTGAGACTGAGAAATAGATCCGGAAGCCATAGTTTACAGTGATATTGCCAGTGTGATGTAAAGCTCAGGTTACTGGTGCCATCTTCCCAGATGCTGGCAGAAGCCTGTCTTTAGAACAAAGCCAAGCAGAGGTAAGCAAGCATGGCATAAGTGCCTGGTTGAGTCCCTGTCCCTGATTCTGGTTTCTGAAGTTCTTCCTTCAGTCCTGCTGATACGGTTTGGCTGTGTCCCCACCCAAATCTTGAGCTGTACTCCCATAATTCCTATGTATTGTGGGAGGGACCTGGTGAGAGATAATTGAATCACTGGGGCAGTTTCCCCCATACTGTTCTCGTGTAGTGAATAAGTCTCATGAGATTTGAAGGTTTTATCAGGGGTTTCTGCTTTTGCATCTTCCTCATTCTGTCTTTGCCTGCTGCCATCCACATAAGAAGGGACTTGCTCCTCCTTGCCTTCCACCATGATTGTGAGGCTTCCCCAGCCAAGTGGAAACTATAAGTCCAATTAAACCTCTTTCTTTTGTAAATTGCCCAGTCTTGGGTATGTCTTTCTCAGCAGCGTGAAAACGGACTAATACACCTGCACGCTGTCCCAGTATCCTTTCCAGCTATCAGAGGCAACAACACAGATTTCAGTCACTTACAACTGAAAAAGTTCTGATTAATATATAGACGTCGGGCAAGTTTTTCCTAAGTACATCAACCTGCTATTTGTTTCTCTAGGTTCATTCATCTGAACGTATATGAAAACCTTAGACAATTCCATGCCTTAGACTATAGCAGAATGGAGTAGAACTTCATTACTGTGCCTATTGTACAGAAAGACCAGTTTGATTTAGAGGAAAAAAAAGGTAGATTGTAAAATGTACCTTACCGGAAGTATTATTATATTCAAGAAAAAAAAAACTGGAACTAGCTTAAGACTGTTCTGAGGATCTGTTTTTAGTAAAGAGTTTGGAAAGTAGAGTCACATGGGAGGGAATTTGGACTTGCAGTCTAATCTTGGTCTTCCCACTGTTCAACTATATGATCTTGGGGTGAATCTTTTGAGCTCTCTAAGCCTAGTTTCAACTGTAAAATGTAAATTTTATTACTCTAGATTTTTAAAACTCAGCTTTCAATTATTCAGTGTAAATGGATACTTTTTCAAATGTTTAAAATTACATGAAGTTTGTTGGTTTCAATTTAAATGCTGTGTCTTCTACCTTTTCATAATTTTTAATTTGCTAAGCAAACCTTTTCGATAAACACTGCTGCCTAGTTGCAAGGTGAATATTTGCAAATTAGGGTCCGAGTCAATGAGCTTGGGATGTGCCCAAGTGAACAGGTGGGCTTGGTGCTATCACAGAGGGAACGGTGAGAAAGCTCTATCAACAGCCAAAAGCTGTAGGTTCACCATTGCTTCTTATTCCTCCTTAAGGCAGAGCTATAGAGGAGAAGCTCAAGATTTCCCTTTAAATTGTCCCCATGAGATAATTAAATACAAATCCTTTATTTCCTAGGAAGCCTCCCATATGGGTAAAAGATGTGAAAGATCAAGGCAACATATGTGAAAATGTGTCAAGTAAAAAGAAAACTCACTATTTGAACATCTTTAAAAATCAAGATAAGAAAGAGAATACCATGGGAGTCATAAAAACTTAGCTCTAGGCCAGAGAAATGTTGCTTTTAATTTTTATATAGTAGAAGAAAATTTAGTGCATGAGTAACGTTTCATTAAAATGTATACCTTTAAAGATGTATATTGTCACATTTGAATGGGGGGGACAGCAGAAGGTAATTTAAACTGCCTGACATGCTGATTTAGCATTTCTGCAGTGAACAGCATCTGCCACTTGGAATAACATTATATAGGAAATCTCTTTAAACACAAATATGGTGTTGATTTCTAAGGAAGAATATGAAACGGGAGGGAAAAATAACCCCCCACCTTTTATATTGACCCACCTTTTAAGATTTTTCAAGGGGATTATTGTGTTATATGTGCCCGAGCATGACTGTCTAAACATCCCATCACTGTAGGCGTTGATATAGGCACAAACAAAAAGCTATGAAAACTGAAAGTGAGAAATTCTCCTGTAACTTTTCAAACCCGAACACTTCAACTGAAATCCTTTTGCTTCATGTTGTGATTAAGGCTCCGACATTATTTGCAGTGGTTTGATTTAATTATAACATTCAAAATTCCTGTAGGCATTTATACATATATTGGCACTGTCCTTTGATTTAAAGTTTAGCATGTTGTATGGGTAAAAATAAGCCACTGGAAAAAAATATAAGACTGACTATTTGACAAGCATGCTGAGCTTTAACTGGGTACCTCTGACTACATTTGTTCTTTGATTTGAGTGGTATTTCAACACTGGCTGTATGTTAGAATTACCTGCAGGACTTTTCTAAAAATGCAAATCCTTTATACCAGATAAACTGGAAACTCTGGGGGTATTTTTCAAAGCCCAGCCCTCCATGCTCCACAGTTCTGGGATTTTTTAATCTCTCAACCTTGACCTTTTCCCTGTCTCTGACTGTTCTCCCTCCTCTTCCTTCTTCACATGGCCCAGACCCACTGCTCCTTCCTTTTAATTTGCTAAGCAAACCTTTGCGATAAACACTGCTGCCTAGTTGCAATGTGAATATTTGCAAGTGAGGGTCTGAGTCAATGAGCGACAGGTTCATCATTATCCTCCCATCATTATCTTCCCCATATTCACAGCAAAACAATTCCCCACCACTTCCATACTTGATATTTTCTACTGTCATGGAGAGAAAAGGCCAAGATTGTTGCTGCTGGAGACTAGTCCCAAATCTGAATCAGGCCATTTATGCTGCCTGGTAACTTCCTTAAGAGATTTCCATAAAGGATTTCTTTCTATCAGCAGAGAAATATTTATTAAGCATTCACTCATCAGTGTTCTAGGTACTGGAAATACAATTCCAAACACGAGAGATGGGGCCCCTGACTTCAAGGAGCCTTTGTGGATAGACGGAAGCACACGGTACACATAGACAAATTAGTGAATGTGCACATGTAGGGGCGGCCGTGCACTATGAAGTAGTTAAAACAGGGTGGTATGGGGGATACAGTTTGGATCTGGGTTCCCACCCAAACCTCAGGTTCAGTTGTAATCCCCCATGCTGGAGGTGGGACCTGGTGGGAGGTGACTGGATCATGGGGGTGGATCCTTCATGAATGGTTTAGCACCATCGCTTTGGTGCCGTTCTCATGATAGAGTTCTTATGAGATCTGGTTGTTTAAAAGTGTGTGGCACCTTCCCTGCCCCCGCTCTCGCTCCTGCCATGTGAGATGTGCTGGCTTCCCCTTGCCTTCCGCGATGACTGTAAGTTTCCCATGGCCTCCTCAGAAGCCAAGCAGATGGCGCAGTGCTTCCCGCACAGCCTGAGGAAGCCTGAGCCAATTAAACCTCTTTTCTTTATAAATGGCCCAGCCTCAGGTATTTCTTTATGGCAGTGTGAGAAGGAACTAATACAAATAGGATGGTGTGGTGAGAAGGGACCAGCGGGTTTAGGGCACTGGTGGCATTTTCTCTAAGAATGCCCAGGGAAGGCCTCTTGGGTGAGCTGATATTTATTTATTTACTTTTATTTTTATTTATTTATTTTTTTTTTTTTGAGTCAAAGTCTCTCTGTGTCACCCAGGCTGGAGTGCAGTGGTGCAATCTTGGCTCACTGCAACCTCCACCTCCCAGGTTCAAGCAATTCTCCTGCCTCAGCCTCCCGAGTAGCTGGGATCACAGGTGTTCACCATCATGCCAGCTAATTTTTGTATTTTCAGTAGAGACAGGTTTCACCATGTTGGCTAGGCTGGTCTTGGCCTCCTGATCTCAGGTGATCCACCGGCCTCAGCCTCCCAAAGTACCGGGATTACAGGCGTGAGCCACAGTGCCTAGCGTGAGGTCATGTTTTAGTTAAGACCTGGAATGTGAGGAGAGGGTCTTGGAAATATCTAGGGAAAGGAACAGCCACTGCAAAGGCCCTGACAGAGGAACAACCTTGGCCTGTCTGAGGCACAGCAAGGAGGCACTGGGGCTCTGGGATGGTACAGAGAGAAAGCAGGAGATGGAGGCCAGGTGCGGTGGCTCACACCTGTAATCCCAGCAGTTTGGGAGGCCAAGGCAGGCAATGACTTCAGATCAGGAATTTGAGACCAGCCTGGCCAACATGGTAAAACCCAGTCTCTACTAAAACTACAAAAATTAGCTGGTCATATGCATGCATGTAATTCCAGCTACTTGGAAGGCTGAGACAGGAAAATCACTTGAACCCAGCAGGCAGAGGCTGTAGTGAACTGAGATGGTGCCGCTGCATGACAGAGAGAGACTCTGTCTCAAAAAAAAAAAAATATATATATAGGGGACAGAGACATAGAAACAGACCAGGAGGCAGAGCATCAGGGGCCTCCTAGGGCATCATAAGAATTCCAGATTAGATTCTAAACATCAAATTGGAGATAGGAGACCAATGAGGAGTGATTTATGGTAATAAAAACAATCTTTAATAACCTTGTAAAGAGATCATTCTGGTTTCCATGTACGTCTGCTTTAACTGATGGTGACTGAAGGATGGAAATGTTCTTTTCCTAACACGATGCCCTTTCATTATAACTTAAGCTGGTCCTAGTTTCTTACAAATCCCTTATTTCCTTGGATTTCTCCACTGCACCCTCACTGTGCTGCCTTGTCACTTACAAGCTGGGCCTGCCCAATGTGTTTACAAAGCCTCTCTTCAGAAATATACCAGATGTGCTCAACAGAGGCATCATTAATAGAAACCTCCACTTCAAAACATCATATGAAGAACCAGCAATCAGCCCTCCAACGTAAATACCTCCCATTTCACAGTATTACAGAAAGAGTGCAGTTTACTAAGCATGCCTTCCTTACAGGAAGTTCAGTAGCTGTAAAAATTTTTGTTCAGTTTCAAACGTTTCACTGCTTATTAATTCCAAAGATCGGAACGCTGTGTTGTTGCTGCGTTTGGGGAGTTTAGCATACTCAGGAGAGAAGCCGTGCTTACGACGGAGTGAGTTGGAGCATACTTCTATAGAAACTTGCTGGAAAACACAGAATGATTGGAGAAATGGTGAAAAACTTCTGTGAAGATGTAAACGGTACTCCGTCACCCAGCTGTTCGCAGTGCGTTGGGATCCTTGCTTTACCCTGGTCAGGGGTTTCCAAAGGTGTTCCTTTCAAGCATGGAAAAATTCATTCATCCCCAGATTATGTATAATATTTGTCAAGATCTAAGCAATGAGAACACGGAAGAAGGAATGCTGAGTAAGACAAAAGGAGCCCAATGCGTGTGTCAGCCACAGACCCTGGCTGTCCACTACATGGGTATTTGGATTCACTTCACTGTGGGCCACCCCAGCGTTCATGTTTGCTCCACATCCCCACTCCCGGCTGCATGCACAGAGCAGGACCAGCCCAGCAGCCCCAGCTCCCATCGCCTCATGCCCTTGGCCTTCTAGCCCTCAGCTTGTGGAAGCCCAGGGAGGAGTTTCAAGCAGGGGTACTAAATGATCTGAAGACAGCTTCTTTAGGCCTTATTTTCCCCATTGGCCAGCGGCCACTTGGCTTCCTGCTGTCACTCTTGTGACAATGACCTACAAAGGTCAACACGTCCTCCGGAAGGCCATGCCCTCTGCATTCTCTTCACGTCTTGGCTATGCCATTCGGCCAATCACTCACTCCCTTCTTTTATAAATATTCTCTTTTCTGGAGTTCCATGGTCTCCATCTCTCCAGGTTTTCATTCCCATGCGCTACCCGCCTCCCGATTGTGGCATCTCTTGTGTGCCCTCTCTTGTCCATGCACCCGCTGTGGTCAGTGTCTCTCAGCATTGTGCTCTTGGCACTAACTTCTCCTGACTTTACACTCTGACCACACCAGAAAACCCTCTTCCACTCCACCAGCTTTAGATACACCTCGCTCGATTGATCCCCACATTGTCACCTCCATCCAGAGCTCTGTCCCATGCTCTGGGCCTACGTATACTCTTGGCCCTGGTGCATCCTCATACAGATGTCCCAGGTGCTACAAATTCAGCAAATACTTCCTAGACTGAATTCATAATCATCTTGTCAAGGCAGCTTCTCCTTCTGTGCTTTCTGTCTTGAATGATGCAATCACATGTAACAAGCTGTCCGAGCTGGCATCCTAGCTATCACACCTCACCCCTCTATCTCCTTCATCCTCAACATCCCATCAGCCACTCAGTCCAGCCTTCGCGACATCTTTCTGTTTACTCTTTTCTCCTCTCCTCCTGCCTCTGCCTTGACTCAGATCCTTTCTCCTCTGCTGCCTGGGTCAAAGCCTTGGTCAACTTGTCTCCCCACCTCCAATCTTTCTTCGTTCCAGTCCATGTTTCCGGTGCAGCCAGGGTGATGTTTCTACAATGCAAATGATAATTTGCCCCTCTGCTGAAATCTGTGTGTGGTCCTCTACACTAGCCCCCTTTGCCTTGAGGATGAACCGAAATCCCAAACCTGACTCCATAGCTCTTCATGATCTGGCCGTTACCTACCTCTCTCCCTTATCACTTCCTGGCCCTTACCCTAAACTCAACCCTAATAAACTCTCAGCAGCTTCTTACCCACCTTGCTCTCACTTCCTGCACAGCTGTTCTGTCTGCCTCTACAGCAGTTCTTCAGCCGCACCCCTTTTCTACTTGACAACTTCAGGTCTCATTCTAGAGTTACTTCCTGCAAGAATTCCTAAAAACAAACAAAAAATCATGTCTCCTGTTAAGTATAGACACTGGTGCAATCAGGTTCGGGAGATGGGGGCCCTGCACCCCATATTTTGGAAAGAGTCCAGTGTCGTGACAACAAAACTGTAGTTGAATTTATAAGTCCAGAAAGGGAGCAAGGGGTGTTGGAGGTCCCAGTTTCTTGGTCGTAGTGAAGGTGGGGAAGATTTGAAAGGGATCTTACGCAGATTCAATGACCCAAGAGAGGGACCTTTACAACCTGGAGGGGCCAGATTGGCAAGAATATGAAGCATCTCAATGCCTTCCTGCATGGATGTCCAAGAAAATGCATGCATTGTACACAGAGTCGTACACAGAGTCCTACATCCAGTGACTCTCCTGCCTACAAAACTTTGGCAAATTGATATGTTCCCAGAACTTAGGTCAAGCCAGGAAAAGAGAGAAAAATTATGACTTAACTGAGAAATAACTGAGCTTCCCTGGTGAAATGGGAGCTCAAAAAATAAATAAAGTCAAATTATAGACAAATAGAACACATTTCTTATAGTTGAGAGTTGTGAACTGAGATTTGTATTGCCCTTTTTATTACCCTGAAGAGTAATCACCTGTTTACGTGTTTGCCTCTGAGGAGACTCTCTAAGTCCCTCATGGTGATATACCTTTTGCTGGCTAATAGCATTGATTCTGGTTAATAATGATTGATAAATATATGTAAAAAATGAATAAATTTTTAAGACCAAAAATTTGCCATAATTAAGAACTCTGAGAATCTCGGTCTGCTGGGCACAGGCAACTAGGGAACAGTGGGTTGCAGTCCAGGTACATATATGGTGCAATGGGATTGCAGGAAGAAACAATTAAAATTTGTGCTGGGAGTCTAGGAAGGCATGGAGGATGTGACATTTGAACTTAGATGTGGAGGTAGGCAACAGGTCTTGACACCCATTTGGATCCCACAATCAGGCCTAACTAATGAATTTATACACTATCTCCACTGAAGGCCAACAGAAAAAGAACAAAGATGGGGGCCTTAGGAGAAGGTATTTGCAAAGAACCTAACAGGTACTGGGCATTTGACAAAGTCTGAGTTCATCTTTCCCCATTCACCCTTTCCCGCCTCCTTATACTGTATCATCTCTCCATGACTAACATTTGCAGAATGGATTACAGCTCACAGACTGTGTTCATTTGACCCTCTTATGTAACAGCGTATCTCCAAGGTTTAAAGAATAGTTTCAAAACTCAGGAGCCAGAAACTTCAAGCTAGCTTTGCCCTACTTTCCCTAACACAGGCTTGTTCTGCACTGTCACTTAATGCAACATATGGTTGGTGTGAGTAAAGACTAAATATGAGGACCCTGCACTTCGCACATGTAAAAACCTTACTCAAGCCAGGGCCGGATCAGAGGAGCAGCAAATGTCTTTATTCTTGGGCCCCGTTCATTGCACCTTGACAAACCTTCCTGATTCTCCACCCTTCCTTCTCCTTCCTCTTTTTTTTTCCCTTCCTTTTCTCCTTTCTTCTGGCTCCGTCTCCCTCACCTCATGTGGCTGTGGAAAACTTTCTAGCTATTGAGCATTAGCCCTAGCTGTGATGACCATGAACATCCAGCGAAGGGTTTTTCTGCCTCGCTCTACATCATATTCATCTGAGGAGATATTATTTTAAGGAGATGCTCATGGCCTCATCTCAAGAGATCTGAAATCAAATATTCTGGGATGCAGCCCAGGCATTGGTATTTTTAAAATGCTTCCCCAAGAAATGCTAAAGTGCAGTCAGTATTGAGAATCACAGATCTAAATTTTCCCTCCATATCTTAATTTCTTTTTCTATAAAATGAACTCATTGGCCTGAAAGCTATTAAAAAAAAAAAAACTTTAAACTTTCTAGGTGTGAAATATCTCCCAGAGACCTAAAGGCATATCAGATCAGTGGATGGATCACTGCAGAAAGGTTTGGGTGGGACTGGGAGTTCAAGGTGATGGGAGGTTAGGGATGTTTTGCGGGTAACATGGAAAGGGAGAGATGGACTAGTGGGTTCTAATAACTTTTTTGTTCACTTTAAGTTCTGATATTTCTGACAGTAGAATGTTTTGTGTTTTTGTGTTATTTTGTTTTTCCTAAGAGGAATAGTCCACACTTTCTTTGAAAAAAGTACATTTTCAATCATGAACTTGGACATCTGATGTTATTCAAATTCTCTGGTTGTTTTGTGTTGTTTTAATATGGAGTCAGAGCCAACTAACCATTTTATAGAGCTTCCCAATCTCCCCTAATTCTGTGCATATGACTATCTGGCAAGAATAAGAATTAATGATTCCTGGAGGCACTTACCCTAGGCATTTTAAAGAAGATAGGTGCTCAGTGCTTCTTGGTGTTGCCAGATTAGCAGTATATCCTGGTAAATTCAAGAGACCTCTTTCCATCCTAATCTGTGACAGTGATAACAGAGGGAAACGTTTGTTTGTTTGTTTGTTTGTTTGTTTGTTTGTTTGTTTGTTTTGAGATGGAGTCTCGCTCTGTTGCCTGGCTGGAGTGCAGTGGCACTATCTCAGCTCACTGCAACCTCTGCCTCCTGGGTTCAAGCGATTCTCCTGCCTCAGCCTCCCAAGTAGCTGGGATTACAGGCGCCTGCTACCGTGCCCAGCTAATTTTTGTATTTTTAATAGAGACAGGGTTTCACCATGTTGGCCAGGATGGTCTCCATCTCTTGACCTTGCCATCCACCTGCTTTGGCTTCCCAAAGTGCTGGGATTACAGGCATGAGCCACTGCGCCCGGCAAACAGGGAAACACTTAAGCCAAGGGGCTTATATAATCCCAGCCTGTGGTATTTGCAGGGGTTTGTATTTGACATCATTGTCTAGAATCCCACTCATCAGCACAACTCTAATTAACATGCCAATGAGTATTAAGTTGGGGTTACTACAGACTGAGCAACTACTTCACTTGGGGCTCAGCAGGTTTCAAAAAGCAACATGCCTCATTGATAAAACATTCTACTCTTTTTGAGTCATCACAGAAATGCTCAGAAAGCAAATAATTCCACAAAGAAAGCACGTTGTGAAAATGAACCCACTTACCAAAAAAAAGGTAGTCTTCAGTGTCTGTATTAATCAGTGATCTTCACTGAAAGAGAACAAATAGTACATACAGTCTTGCACCACATAATGGCATTTTGGTCAACAACAGACCACATATATGAGTGGCCCCAGCAGATTATAATGCCATATTTTTACCTTTTTTATGTTTAAATACATTTAGATACACAAATACTTAGCATTGTGTTACATTTGCCTATAGTATTTGGTACAGTAACATGCTATACAGGTTGGTAGCTGTGTTAGTCTGTTCTCATGCTGCAAATAAAGACATACAGAAGACTGGTTAATTTATAAAGGAAAGGAGGTTTAATGGACTCACAGTTCCACATGGCTGGGGAGGCCTCACAATCTATGGCAGAAGGTGAAGGAGGAGCAAAGGCACGTCTTACACGGAGGCAGGCTGGAATGTGTGTGCAGGGGAACTGCCCTTTATAAGACCATCAGATCTCATGAGACTTATTCACTATCATGAGAACAGCACAAGAAAAACCTGCCTCCATGATTCAGTTACCTCCCACTAGGCCCCTCCCATGACACATGGGGATTATGGGAACTACAGTTCAAGATGAGATTTGGGTGGGGACACAACCAAATCACATCAGTAGCCTAGGTGTGTATTAGGCTCTACCATCTAGGTTTGTGTAAGTACACTCTACGCTGGTCCCACAATGACAAAATCACCTACAGACACACTTCTCAGAACATATCCCCATTGTTAAGTGG
Organism: Homo sapiens; assembly: GCF_000001405.40. Lineage (NCBI taxonomy): Eukaryota > Metazoa > Chordata > Mammalia > Primates > Hominidae > Homo > Homo sapiens. The sequence continues at coordinate 10,781,823 of NC_000010.11, forward strand.
CACATGCCTGTATACAGTCACCTCCCTGTATCCATACTACAACTGTGGATTCAACCAACCGTGAATCAAAAACATACTAAAATGATTAAAATAAAAGGTAATAATATGGCAATAAAAATAATACAAATTTAAAAAGCAATACAGTATAACAACTATTTACACAGCATTTACATTTTATTCGGTATTTTAAGTAATTGAGAGATGATTTAAAGTATAAGGGAGGATTACATAACTTATATGAAAATATTATGCCATTTTACGGAAGGAATTTCAGCATCCTCCAATTTTGGTATTCATGGGGGTCCTGGAACTAATCCCCTGTGGATCCCAAGGGACAACTGTATATAGGAAGAAATTTATTATGAGAAATTGGTTCATGCTATTATAAAGACAGAAAAGTCCCAAGATCTGCCAGCAGTGAACTGGCAACCCAGGAAAGCTAGTGGTTTTGAGGAAAGCTAAATTCAGTTCGAGGACAGAGAACCTGGGAGAGCTGTTCGTATAAATCGCAGTGTGTGGCAGGAGAAGAAGAGATGAGATGTCCCAGCTCAATCAGTGAGGCAGAAAGAAAGGGGGCAAATTCCTCCTTCCTCTGCCTTTCTGTTCTAGTCGGGCCTTCAGTGGACTAGATGATGCCCATCTACATTGGGGAGGGCCATCTGCTTTCAAGTTCACTGATTCAAATGCTAAGCTCATCTGGAAACACCCTCACAAATGTACCCAAAACAATGTTTAATCTGGGCACCTCATAGCCCAGTCTAGTTAACACAAAATCAACCATCACAGTGTCCTTCCCCCCTTGCCAGTAAACAATCTTTATGGGAAGCTCACCAAGTGGTAGCACTGTGTTTTCCTTTCTTCCTCAGCATCTCATCCTGAATGCGCCACTTTCTGAAGGAGGATTTATTCACCTTCCTTTGCTCTCTTGTGACCAGACCTTTCAGGTTCTTTGTGATGTCAGCTAGGTTAGTCTGCGGTTTCTCAGCCATCGTGCCCCCTGGTCTGTGATGAGTCAGACTGGACTGCTCATTTATTTGGGGAGAGCAGTAAACATGAATGGGATTGTATGACTAAAGTTCAGCCGTAGACCCTCCCTTGTGAATGTGACCTCAAAGTGTTTAATTAAACGTTCTGACTATAAATGTATTTAGTAGATTTGAAGGGTTACTATGAAGATCATGAATATGTTTTATAGTCTGTAAAATCCTATATAGGTTTAAGGTAGGATGTATCTCTTTTTTCAGAAACATTAAGAAATTTCCTCTTGTGAAGGGTTTTCACTCTTTCTGGTTAGTCCTGACTTCTTTCGGGTGGCAGAAAAGATTTGTTATGGGCTGAAATGAGTCCCCCAAGATGATATTGAAGTCCTAATTCACAGTATCTGTGACTGTGACCTTACTTGAAATAAAGTCTTTGCAGATGCACAAGTTGAGGTCATTAGGGAGAGCCCTAATCCGGTATGACTGTGTCCTTAGCAAAAGGGAGACTTTGAACACAGAGACAGGTACAGGGACAGGAAGATACAGAGGGAAAGTACAGAGGGAGAACCCACAGAGGAGATGGCCATCTACAAACCAAGGGATGCCTGAGGCTACCAGAAGCTCAGAGAGTGGCAGAACAGATTCTCTCTCACAGCCTCAGAAGGAACCAACCCTGCCAGTACCGACACCATGATCTTAGACTTCCAGCCTCCAGAAGTATGAGACAATAAAATTCTGTTTTCAAGACACTCAGTTTGTGAGACTTTGTGACAGTGACCCCAGGAAATGAATGCAGTATTATTTCCAGAAGAACTGAATGCTCTGCAGTTGAAGTTCTAAGCAACAATCTTCAGTCTCCAAGCAGGAGTGCTCTCAAACAAAATCAGAACTGCATGTCATGGGGCTGGGCACAGTGGCTCATGCCTATAATCCCAGCACTTTGGGAGGCCAAGGCGGGCAGATCACGGCATCAAGAGATTGAGACCATCCTGGCAACATGGTGAAACCTTGTCTCTACTAAAAATACAAAAAAAAAGTAGCTGGGCGTGGTGGTACACACCTGTAGTCCCAGCTACTTGGGAGGCTGAGGCAGGAGAATTGCTTAAACCTGGGAGGCAGAGCTTGCAGTGAGCCAAGATCGTGCCACTGCACTCTAGCCTGGTGGCAGAGCAAGACTCCTTCCCAAAAAAAAAAAATAAATAAAGAACTGAAGGTCATGACCTCCAACTTGCTGACTTTGAGTCAACTGGGGTTTTATTTCTGAGGTTTAGATGGCTCCAGATATTCAACTAAACACATTTCAACCCATCTCACTGAAATGGGAGAGTTCCCTGAACCCCCTTGCAGGATGAGCAACAGGGATATGCCTCATTTATTCTGGTGCTGTGTGCTTAAACTCCTTACAGGCTGGGGAGCACACAGATGGGCAGGTGTAGGAGCTGGGATGAGCACCCCTGGGTTCCAGCCCCATGGCAGCATCTAGGGGTGGGTGTCCATGACTCCCAAAGCCCCAGTCAGCGTGTTACAGTGCTAGCCTTGTTGTCCATGAACAGCTTAAGTGTTAACCAGCTCAGTGCCCTCTTGATACCCAAGTCCTTGTCCAGCATCCAGGAAGAATCAGGTCACACACAGACTTGAAAGATGAATGTAAGGTTTTATTGAGTGGTGGAGCTGGCTCTTGGTGAGATGGATGGGGAGCTGGAAGGGGGATGGAGTGGGAAAATGATCTTTCTCCGCAGTGTGGCCGTCTAGCAGCTAATCTCCTCTCTGACCATCCCCAACCAAAGTCTTGTCAATGTTCAGTCACTCCTTCTCTTCTCTTTGCCACTCCATTCTTCTGTTCTTCTGCTCTTCTCTTTGTCTCTCCCTGTGGAGCCAGCAGTTTGGGGTTTATGTGGGTACAGGATAGGGAGGTGTGATGGGGCAAAAGGCAACTTTTGGGCACAAAAACAGGAATACCTGTTCCCATTTAGGGCCACAGGATTTCTGTTTTGAGGGTGGGGCCCTTGCTGGGTAACTGCCTTCTCCTACCTAGTATGTCCCTGTCTCCTGTCCATATCATCACCTGTACAGGTGGCTGATAGAGTTTGCAAACTGCCTTCCACATGGCCTCACCTCTACAACCAGACTTCACATAGGTAGGCTTGGATCCATGAATATCTACAACCAAAGTGTTCAGTTACAATAGAAAACACTACAGTTGAAAGTGCTTAATTATATAGTTTTACCTTTTTCAAGTCAAGTTCCATTAAATTTGCATTATGAAAGATTACTGTCAAATATAAGATGAATATGCATAAAATTCCATATGCATTTCACTCAAGTTTGAGTTACAGCCAATCCTCACCTTGATTCTTCATGGTGATCAATCAGGGATCCATGTAATGCAGTGGCACCGAACCCACCCTTTACATCAGCATCACCTGGAAGTTTTAAATAATACTGACACCTGGGTGCCAGCTTCTGAGATTCTATCTCAATATCATCTGGAGTGTGCCATGGACATTGGGATTTTAAAAGTTCCCAGCCCAGACAGAATTATGATATGATCTAGCAATCACACTACTGGCTATATATCCAAAGGAAATAAAATCAATATGTTGAAGAGATATCTGCTCTCCCATGTTCATTTCAGCTCAATTCACAATAGCCAAGATACGGAGTCAACCTCAGTGTCAAACAACAGATAAATGGATTTTTAAAATGTGATATATATATACAGGAAATACTATTTAACCTTAAAAAAAGAAGGAGATCCTGTTATTTGTGACAACATGGATGAACCTGGAGGACATTATGTTAAGTGAAGTAAGCCAGGCACAGAAAAACAAACACTGCATGGTCTCCCTTATATGTGGAATCCACAAAAAAATATCTCTTAGAAGCAGAGAGTAGAAGAAGGGTGGTTACTAGAGCATGGGAGGGATGGGGGAAGAAATTGGAGAGAAGTTGGTCAAAGGATACAAAACTTCAGTTAGGAGAAAGAAGTTCAAGAGGTCCATTGCACAACATGGTGACTATATAGTAAATGTATTCAATGTATTTTACACTTGAAAATTGCTGAGAGTGTAGAATTTAAGTGTTCTCACCACAAAAGAATGCAAAGTATGTGAGGTATTAGATATGCTAATGGGCTTGATTTAGCCATTCCACAATGCATACATATATCAAAATGTCAGGTTGTATATCATAAATATATATCATTTTTATTTGTCAATTAGAAAAAAACTAATTTAAAAAAAATGTTTTCTGCAAGTGGAACCTCCAAAATTGGAAAAATAAATAAATAAAACAAAAGGTCTAGGCCAAGGTGGAAAATCTCTGGTAAAGCACTGGCTCCGGGGTCAGCCACACAGGAGCTGGAATTGCTCACAATTGCGCCACTGTCTACCGGCAGGGCTACTTTGGCTATGTTTTCATTTCCTCAGTGACACAGGGACAATACATGCCTCATCGTGCTTCTGTAGCATTACATGAGATAATGCCCATGTTAAGGGTTATCATGAAGAGAAATCTCCTTTGGACTCACTATACCTATAGATTTCTGGTCTTGGGTATTTACAAGAGGGAATAAAAAATGACCCTGGACTACCACATCAGGAAGGCACCCAATAAGCCAACCATAATACAGATCAGGATGATGAGAAATCTTGCGTCACACCTTGTGATCCATTTGAAAAAAAAAAAAAAATTCCTAGAAAGGGTTAATTCTTTTAAAAGGAAGTTATAAACCACAAACCCTTGAAATAGTTCTATATTTCTCAATCTGCTATTACAAGTTTGCTGCAATCTGTGATTCAACTCAAAGAATGGAAATCAAGTGAGAAAATAAACAGCCTCACCTTATTTGCAGGAGGTCACAGGGAAGTAGAGAGGGGGATGAAGAAATACATTTCCATCCTGAGGTGGTCTGCCATCTCACTTGAAGAGGTGCTACAGGAATAAGAAGTGTTCTAGAATTAAGCAAAGTGAAAATCTGAAAGACAGTGAATTTAACCATTCTCTACCTCCTGCCTCTACAGGAAATATTTACCATCTACTCCTTTTGATCTTTATTTGCCTATAAGGATTATGTTATTAAAACACACACACGTAGACACACACACACACACACACAGGAGTGCAGGGAAGGAAAAGCTACAGGGCAGCTGGTCATATCCCTGTTTTCATAGTGAACTCATCTCAGAAAATTATTTTCAGTTTTCAAGTGAATGATTTGAGATACCCACTTCATGGACAATCTCAGACAAAAATTATGTGGCGTGTGTTAGAACTTTAATATGTGTTAAATATTCAGTTATAAAAAGTTCCTCCCTTGCATTTGTAATTATAAAGTGACATATTCATTGAAACATTGTCAACCAGAAATCAGAATTCTCACTTTTTAATGCTTCAGTGGGAAGAAAGCCCTTAAGGTTTGATGTCACACACACACACACACACAAATTCTTATTTAAATGTTATATCAAGCCTTTTTTTGCAAATGAATTATAATGGTTTCTAGTCCAGTAATGCTGGCCTAATAGCTAGGATACAGTTGTTTTTATGCTATCAACAATTTTCATTTTTGCTTTTCATTTAATACTTTTAAAAACAGAACATACTTAGAGTAAAACAGAGAAATTAGAAAAAAACAACAGCTGGTTAAAAGTGAACTCAAGCTTTTTCTCTCCGGTTTCCCAATTTTCATAAAACGCAAACTTTATAAACAGGAGAGAAATGGTCAAACAAGCTTGTTTCTCAGGAAGCCTTAGCTTTTAAACAGAAGACACCCGAAGGCAGAGGTATATAAAGATTATTGTTCATATACAGCAGTGATTCTGTAATTAATTCGTTTGAGCTTTGTGAAAAGTATTCTTTGTCCCTACGTAAAGTCAGGGCTCTGTAGTTTTTCCCAGTTATTTTATCATTACCCTCAATCAGCTGAGCTTGCTACATTCTTTTTTCCTAGATCGAGTACTGCACTGGTTGGCTGCATTCTATATTCCCCTTTCTTTTTTTAATCCCCATTTATAAGGTGACTATCCAGAGAAGCATGTGTCCCAGAGATGGCATGGCAGTGCTAGCTTAAACCTTAAAGCCTTCTTTTCTGCTTCCAAAGCCATGCCGGTTCAAATCATTATGGGATGTCCTAATATTTTCTATAATAAAAGACACTTTGGCCAGTGAACTGTCAAAATCATATCACCAATAGACTCTACCACTAGATTAGAAAATTGCTTAACATCACCTAGAAATACTTGAGGACATTAGATATGATTTGCTGAAAATGAGGCCAAAAATGATTAGTGCAAGCCATAAGGGAGAAAAATTAGACAAATTTTTGAAGCCCTGCTTTTCAAAGAAGCTTCAGACCAGTAAGAAATGTTTGTACAAATAACAACAGTCTATAAGAATGTAGCTGTATGGATATATTTCAAAATAGAAGGTCAGAGGCAAACTTCAAAATAGGACCTTTTTTTTTCTAAAACTACTTTGTACCCCCTAAAAGGGTGACTAAATAGAATAATATGAGAATGGTCCTGGTTTTCTGATTATAGAAAGAAATATATGGAAATAACTTAGTAAATAAGGAAAGGTATGAAGAAAATAAAATTAAATGATTGAAATTGTACCAATAATTGTATTACTTTTGTATATTTCTTTCCATCTTTTTTTTTTTTTTTTTTTTTTTTTTTGAGATGGAGTCTCGCTCTGTCACCCAGGCTGGAGTGCAGTGGTGCAGTCCTGGCTCACTGCAACCTCCACCTCCCAGATTCAAGCGATTCTCCTGCCTCTCCCTCCCAAGTAGCTGGGATCACAGGCGTGTGCCACCAGGCATGGCTAATCTTTGTATTTTTAGTACAGATGGGGTTTCGCCACATTGGCCAGGCTGATCTCGAACTCCTGACCTCAGGTGATCTGCCCGCCTTAACCTCCCAAAATGCTAGGATTACAGGCATGAGCCACCCTGCCCAGCCTCTTTCCAGTATTTTTTTCCATTTGCACATATAAGTATGAATGTTGGAAGTCAAAAACTGGAAGCACCTCAATGCGTTTTTGTCTGGGCTGCAGTCTACAGTGGCATGGAAAGATTGGAGCTGGGTTAGGGCCCCTATCTTCGGAGAGCTCCTCTCTCCTGCTTGCCACACCCACCCCTGCTTGCCCTTTGTTGCTACTGAGTTGTCTTGCCAGTTATTATGCTGTCTTACCCTAGAGATTTTCCTGTGGCTGGTCTTCAATTAGAGTAAGAGGAAAGAAATACGGGTGTTGTCGGGAGGAAAGATGATTGCAAAAGAGAAAGCTAGACCAAGAAAGCTGAATGTTTCTAGAAAAGCAAGAGAAAAAAAATCCTGTTGCATTTTAATAGACAACTTCCCTGTCCACAGTACCTCTATGGTTCCTCTCTGGGGACTATGGGCAGTTGAGTTTGCAGTCCTGGTAGCAATACAAAATACTGATATCACATTCTATGTAACATTTTGTGACTTTTGATCAGTTATTTCATTCTGAAAGTCTTTCAAAGTCATTCCACCAAAACATGTTTTTGATTGTTTCATAATATCCAGTTTTATAGATATGTCATATGCATATATATTTAACCCACATTAAATTATTAGATACTAAGTTGCCTCTGATAGCTTATTAATATAATTAATACTACTACGAATATCCTGCACATAAACCTTTAAGAAGAAAACTTTTAGAAATAAAAATCCTGTGTCAAATATAACATTGTTTTTAGTTTTTGATACATGCTACCAAATTGCTTTCTGGACAGCAATTGAAACACTCACCAGCCATATATGAGTGGGCCTATTTCATTGTACCTCATTGTATCATTACATATAATCAATTAAAGGTGTTTACAAATTTGATGGGTAAAATGCTATATTGCATTTTGTTTTTACTTATATTTCTTGATTCTTACAGAGATAGTTTTTATATGCATTGTTTCATTTGAATTTCTTCCTCCATACATTTTCTGGTTTGGGATTTTGCATACATACTATCTATTATTGTATCCACAGGGTTTTGCTCTTTAATAGATCCATATATATTTCTTAATTTGTCTTTCATTTTTACTGTTATATATGATGTTTTTGATAAACGGATTTTTATGAACTCAAACATGAACTTTTCTTTATATTTTAATTGCATTTTATTTAAAATTGTTCTTTATAAATGCTTTCACATAAAAGCAAGAAATGAAATTATCAAGACAAAAATTTGCCTTCCTTATGTTTTTCTCTAATTTTCTATGGCTTCACTTTGTATATTTAACTTTTCTGTCTGTTATTTATTTTGGTTTTGAATATGAATTGAAAATCTAATCTTTTTACCTCCACAGCGTTCTTGTAATATTTCATATGACATTAGTTGAGTAATTATTCCAATTTCTCTGTTAGGGTTTTTTAAAATCGTCTATTAGTTTTTATATTCAAGAATATATTTTATATTCAAGTTTTTATATTCCCGTTATGTATTTGTTAACGTTTGTGCTAACAGAACCCTACTATAATTATTGTTGTCCAGCTCTGTCCTTTACCCCTTGGGAATGTCTCCCTCATAATAGTACTTATATGTATGTAGGCTTTGATTTATATATGACAATACTAATCCTTCTCTGGATTCTGGAAATGCTTGCATAGTTTCTGTTGCCTACACCTGAAAAACCATTGGTCCTTTTATAAATTCTGATAGAGTATAATACATGATACATACATGAGAACTAACGTGGGAATTATTTTCCTTTATAAAGGACAAATTAGGGATAGATGTTTACAAAGAAAGATATTACGGCAAGCAAGTGGTCATGATATTACTATAGCTGTCTTGCTCAAAGGACACAGATTTGGTTTTTAAAAGGAGGGGTGAATGGTGAAAGGATTACCAATGAATCTTCAGTGATCTAAGGTTAAACCTATGGCTTCTGCCTTCTACCATGTTCTATGAATTAAATATGTTCATGGAAAATATTTATTTAAATCACAGTGTTCATTCAATCATCCAATTGAATGATCCGTATGATTCTAAAGATGCTTTATTTATCCTTCTTTCTGATTGTCAGTTAGAAGATGCCCTTTCTGTAAGGAATTCAGTAGGACTCTCAAGCTAGATCACCTGGCTTCAAATTTGGCCTCTGTCACCCACAAACTACAATCATCATTTACCCTCTCTGTGCTTAGTTTCCTCACCTATAAAATGAAGATTAAAATAGAGCATACCTCAGAGATTGTTATGAGTATTTAGTGGGCTAGTTTTTGTAAGTCTTTAGAACTCTCCTTGATACATACTAAATTTTATGTATTCATTCAATAAAATTCTCTATTTTCATTTCAGATCTTTCTACTTACAACTCTGTCTCAATTGTTTAGTGATCTAAAAAAATGTTGATGTACAATAGCAGAAATTATGTTAGAAACACTGAAATATTTTATAGTCTACATAGCTTTCTGGGGGAAGTCATTGAGATTTTTATAGATTGAGTGTGGTAAACTAGCAGGTGAGCTTTGTTTTCCTCTCTTTAATGTGGCAAAAAAAAAAAAAAATAGGGATTCAAGAAACCAGTTGGAGCCGGGGTACAGCTACCAATTTCCAACTTTGCCAGTAAACAAAGATGTATTTTCAATGGGCCCATGTCCCAACTTTTAAATCATTCATGTAATTACAAATGATTTTTAAATTTCTCATTAAATTATGACTTTAGAAATGTTTGGCATCAGGTGACTACTGAGATCATTGAGGTAAACTTTTCATTTTTTACTAGAATAGTTTAGTGTATTTTTTTCTTTTCATCAATAGTGTAAATGGATATAGTTTCTATTCATCTTAGATTATAAAGCTTCTAGTTCAGTATAGATTCTAAAATAATTCTTTAAAAGTCTCTGTGAATTGTTTTCTTATCGTTGGGGAATACGTTTTATCACGGCTCCCCAGGGTATCGAAAGTGGACCAGCACTGGTCTGTGGATTGTTTATTACAGTTTATGACAATTCTTAGGAGTAAGAATTTGGAAATGCATAGCAATTTGACGGAGTAATTTTATGGCTTTTAATCCAATATTTTTCTTAACGGGGTTTGTATTGTTTTTCTAATAGCTTGATTTTATTTGTATTTAACAAAAGTACTGGTCTACAATGAATCAAAAACTTTGAAGGAAAGAAGGAAGGAGAGAAGGAGGAAGGGAATCGAAGGGAGAAGGAAAAGAGAAGGAAGGGAGAAGGAAGGAGGGAGACAGGGAGGAAGGAAGGAGGGAGAGAGGGAGGAAGGAAGGAAGGAGGGAGGAAGGAGGAAAGGGAGGGAGGGAGAGAGGTTCCTCACCACAGTGGGAAGTACTGCCTTACCTAGTAGCCAAATCGGAAAATGTTTTGACATGCTAAACGGATCATTTGATTGCTCAACAAATGCTTTCTGTAATCAATCAATAATCAATCAATATTTGTGTGCAGTGGTTACCACCTTGAATTACATTAACAAGTTAGTTTTTAGATCTGTCTTCAAGTGAATCTGTGGTACATTCTAACTTTACTTAGGTCTGCTGGAGTTTTTGTGGGGGAGTGGGGAGTGGGTAATAATGGAAGGCCTACCTTTTTCTCGTTGTAATTCAAGGGCAATATTCCGGGTTAGGAATTCCATCTCTATGAGCAGGTGTTGACATTGTTTCTTTGACTGGCAACTTGGCAACTGTATTCGGCTTTCCTTGAAAACTCAGATTTCCCTCTTAAAAACAGATGAGGAGTCCTGTTTGTAAGCACACAAAAACCAGAACAATCTAAAGCTGCCATTCAAAGAAAAACAAAACCAAAAAAGACTGTAAGATCAATGTTTCAGGTGTGATTCCCTGGTCTATGATATGGAGACTATCTGAGCCACAGATTTTTCCTTTGGGTATTCCTTTGTCCCTGTGGGTGTGAGCCCTGTGTGCTAACAAAGGCCGACTGGAAATTAAAAGAAGAACATGACACAGCTTTGAAAATCTCATCTCCCATGGCAGTATAGGAGTTAAAGCTCTTTTTTCCCCCCTACTGTATGTACCAAATTTGGTCTGTGATTCCTTTGAATGGTATGAAAAGCAGCTGGCTGGGTGTGAGTCTCCTTCCTCTCTTCCTTTCTCACTTTAAAATATGCCTGGCAGAGATCCAACATTCCCCTTCCCCTGGCTTTAATCCGTTTTACCCTCCTGTTCAGCTGACCAAGATTCCAAATGAAAAAAGCATTCCTTCCCAATTGTTAGGAGAGCCTTAGAACCAGCAGAAAATGTCAGACACATACGTGGACCCCAAATAATGCACTGGGTCTTTTGCATATATGTAGCAGGTTTTGTAGCTGTCTCTTTAGAGGCCCTTCAGAATTTTTTCTTTTTTAGCTTATCAAATGTCCCATAATAGCAATTCCTAAGTCATCGATGAAGGACCAAAACACATATCTTTGTTCATAGACTTTTCATTGTACCAGGTTTTGTGAGCAAAACATGAAAGCACTTGAAATCCCATTAAAGTTACATTCATTTATCTAAAAAAGAGAAAGAAAAAAGCCATCTTTGAAAGTTTGTCTCTATAGACATCATTAAAGTGAGGATATGTACAAAACACATTTTATGTAACTCAAGATTAATGGCTAACTATTCAGGTGCAGATTTTTTACAGTGGGAGCTGATGCTTGGGAAAAACAAACAAACAAACAAAATAAGAAAACATAGCCGCTACATTAACTGCCAAGTCACTGTGCATAAAATAAATATAATACAGACATGCCCCCATGTTTTACAAAACATCAGTTTCAATGCTTCTCAACACATCAATATTACCAACACTTAAAAATGCGTTCAACTAGCCAATCTTAGGACGAGAAGACCGTATGGAATTCCCTAATTTTCCATATTTGAAGAAATAGGCATATTTTGATCCTATCACTGCTTTGTTCAAAAAGCAACCTCCAAAGGGCCTTTTTATGTTTGGCTTTTAACAACTAAAACAATATAAAGCTTGAAGAACAAATAAATTTATTTTGATGCCTAGTCAATAACGTCAGAGGTACCATTACCAACCTCCATAAATAAAAAATAATCACCACAGTGATGCTGGTAATTTTTATTTAAAAGTCCATTTAGCAGAGGGTTGCCAGATTTAGAAAATAAAAACAGAGGAACCCAAAGTTGAATTTCAGATAAAAAGACAATGTTTTCTTTTTTTTGTTTTTTTTGGTATAAGTATATCCCATGCAATGGTTAGGGCCATACTTATACTAAAAAATTATTTGTCGTTTCTCTGAAATCTGATGCACACGGGGTGTGCTGTATTTTATCTTGGAACCCTTGACTATCATTGTTGCCACGCCGTGGTTTGCTATGAAAAGCATGGAAAGCTGGGTCCTATTTCCAGGGTCCAGAGCAAGTGCTGGGGTTTTTTAGCTCGCTCCATCTGCCAACCTTAAAATTTTGGCACGTTAACAAGATCGGGAAATCTTCTGCAGCAGGAGAATGAATTTCCAATTAGTCATTTCACCTTCTTAAGAGGAGAGAGAGAGCTTACTCACCTGAGAAGAAGGCAAGAGCCGGCAAAAATAAGAAGAGAAAAAAAACTAGGATAACCAGAAAGGGAAAGAATTTAAACCAGGAAGTAACAGAATTAGGAATAAATAAGTTTAAAGCAAGCCGCTCCAAAACAATAACAAAAACAAAAAATGTTTAGGATAATCAGATCCTTAGGAAGAAAACTGCAGTTTATAAGAAATGGAGACACCCAAAGAAAGACGAATGAAAAAATGACAAAGAAAATTTTGTATTTCTTTCGTAACAAACCAGTTTTTTTTTTAAAGCCCCTATCAGGAAATTAGACATTTTGTGGGGCAGCAACTTACTAAGACACCACACCTGTCTTTCCGGAGCCTTATTAAATGGTTGGCTTTACTTACAATTGATGGTGAATGCCTTTCCCTTGTTTGGCTTACTCGTGCCACAAGGCCCATCCTACTCTTCTGCTGAAATAAGATGAGCTTCCACGGATTTTCACCTTTGGTGCTAATGATATTATCCTCAACCACATGAAAGCCCACCTGGAATGCTGTATAACCAGGAGAGATGTTCTCCTGACCTTCTATATCCGCATTTCCCAGGGCGCTCTCTGCCAAGGTCTGAAAGAAATGCAGATTCCTTGCCTCCTAGTGTTGCCTCTTGACTGACACTCCACATTTTCCCACACTTCCCTCATGACTCTAACCCCAGTACTTGCGGAAACCACAGGCTCAGAGGGTTGGGTTTGCTTGGATGGAGGAGGTACAAACAGTGGGCTTTATTTTTGTTTGGAATTGGGTTGTGGTTTTGGCTTCTCCACCGAAGAAACCAAAGGAAGGGGGAGGGAGATCACAGAAATGTTAGCTCTATGAAAAGGAAAGTGACGAGACTTGTTGCTGGTACTATCAGGACAATCACGAATGTTGCATTATATGGATTCAACTTTTTTTTTTTTTTTTTTAACAGGGAACTCTCAGGAGAGGTGACTCTTTAAGAATCATTATGAATGCCAAAAAAAATTTTTTTTTTATGTAAAGGGGTAAATGTATCAAAATTGTGAAAAAGAAGACAAAGAGAATGAACTCTTACAATTTATAGAGTGACATGACGGAAAACTAATTTGGGGCTGAAGTTTATTAAGGCTGAACCTAACTCATTTTTATAAATAGAAAATTTACTGTTGCCTTTCTGTGTTACAGATAAATAGTTGGCCCAGTTTTGAACAAGGCAACATTTCTGTTTGTTTGTGTTTAGGAAGCACCCTCATTGTTGAAGATGAATTAATTGTCTTGATGGCCTATTTCTTAGTAGGAAACAGATCCATTAGGTGTGATCCATTGAAATCAGGAATGAAATACTTAGGGAAAAGGAAAAAGAAATTTGCAGTATGTGATAGCATGGAATTAATTTCCAGTATATGTAAACATAAACACACACACACTTGGACTTTGAAATTAAGAAAAAGGCAAAATATTCTGCCCTTCTTGGACTCAATGCATCCTTTAAAAGATAATTTCTCTCCTTCCTCTCTAAATACTTTTGGGAAGTGGGTTTCAAACGTTATCCTCCTAAACTCTAGGGTTTCTCTATAGGGTCTTAGGAGTGAATCGGTGAGACTCAGGGATTCCTCTTACCCATCCCTATCCTGATCCTAACCCCAACCCCATCCCCACCCCAGTGTCTGGGCGTAACAATAATTGTTATATTTTAGTTGTTCCCCGCAGTTGCCTTCTACCAAAGACCACTGAAGCTGATTTTCCGTTTATGGAAATGACTTTAAAAATCCCTTTTGAAAAGCCCCCAAGCAGATGGAAGAAGTGCTGTGTGGCGGTTACTCGCCAGGTCCACAGGCATCGCTTCTAAGTTCAGTGCCCTGAGAGCTCAGACCAGTTCCTTAATTTCTCCACACCCAAATGTCTTCATTTGCATTAACAAATGGGGAGTACAACTCATAACTTACCTCATAAACAAGTTGGTTATGAGGAGTGAATGAATCAACACACCTAATGAAATTAGAACCGTTCCTAGTACCTAGTAATACACTTCAGCTACTACTGTATCTGTTTCTGTACTTGGGCTTGGTACAAGATTTTATTTGAAGGAACATTCTACTGACTACCTTTAAAAAGTTTTTGAAAAGACAGCTGCTTTAAAATGGTATTTCATAATTTACAAAAATGGGTTTGTCCTTTTGTCCTTTGGCCAAAAGCCAAATCCCACCCTTTTCCTCCATTAACCCTGAACTCTAAGTGTTAAGAACTCATTTCCCTCCCTTCCCCAGACCTGAATCTCCCTGGTGCCGTGGGCTAAGGATGAGGATGATGTCATTATAGTTGCGGACACTATTTCATTATAATCTTTTGCTACTCTCTTGCTAACTTTCTAAAGGGAAAAACATTTCATTAATTATCAAAGCACCCGGAACCCTTTGGAGGTACACTCCGTATAAAAGCTATTATTATCACCCACATTTGGTGAAGTACTTGGAGATTAAAAGTGTTATGTAAATGTTTGCACATGATTACGCTGTGGTCTGAGATTCACAGTGGGATAACACAGCCCAGGAAGAAGCTTGAAGTCCCAGAAAGGCAATGATTTTTGTACGAGGTATGAAATTCTCTTTTAATTTTAGTCTAGAGACAGTTGCACTTCTGAAGAAAGTCATTCACAGCCATTAGGGAAAGTATCCATGACTGCTAAAGAGAAAACAAATCTAAACAGAGGGTTAGCTGCATATGTTAAGATCCACGGGTCCATGGAGAACAGGCTGGTAAGAAAGGGATTTACAATGCTGGGATAGGCGTTTGGAGTGGCAAAAACTTCCTGACAGTAAAAGTAGCCTGCTTCCAAAACCTGTGGGAGCATCTTCCCCCCAGGAAAGAACAGAGATTCTCTTTCTTAGAAGGCTCTGCTTGAAGGGAAGAAGTTGGGACCCTTCCTCCGGGCTGATGCTTTCAAGTAACAAGGACATGACAAAGCACTGAATCACAATATGTTTTCTTTCAGTCTTCCCTCTTCCTTCTCAGGGAAGTCTCTGGCTGGTGCAGGTATGTTCTTAACACTCTTAACATTGCGTAAACTCTCTTTGCAACAAAGAGAAAAAAAAAAAAGACCTAAATCAGAGCCTTTAGCTGGTCTCAGTGTCTGGGCATAATAATAATTGTTTTATTTTAGTTATTCCCTGCATTTGCCTTCTACCAAAGACCAGTGAAGCTGATTTTCCATTTATGGGAATGACTTTAAAAATCCCTTTTAAAAATAAGCGTAAGAAAAAGAGGAATTTAATATAAAGAAAGACTATCAAGTAAAGCTCATGTTGCAGGCAGCTGCAGCAGAAATCTTGACGGGCTGGCCAGCCATGGTCCGGAAGCCACTGGACCAGATGATTTCAAGGTCGGCTACTTCCAGGATCCTGAGGGCAGGAGGAAGAGCTTCAGCTGCGGAGGTCTTAGTTCAAACCAGGACCCTCCAAGCATAGAAGCCTCTGCTTAAGAGGCAGTGCTTATGAAAATAAGAAATCAGTACAGTCCCGAAGAACCCATACGGGGCGAAGGGATAAGGAGACAAACTATGAACAAACAGTACAGGAAAACAATACTGCCTGGATATCTTAAAACATCTCTCATGCACAATTTCAAACGAGTATTGGAAGGATGTTTGGTTTTCAGTAAATGACAAGATACACAAGGTGGGGGGCGAGTAGGGGGTAGCCTATACCCTTTTCTCTTTATGTTTAAAGAGATTCTGCATTTCCTCCTTCATGTTATTTAAAAACACAAGAAAGCCAGCAAAGGGTGGGGGAGCAGTGTAGCAAAAAATCCCTGCCAGAAAACACACAGTAAAGTCTAGCTTGTTTGCAGTCCTGTTCCAAATTATTTTTAAAAAACAAATCCCAGCAGTAAAGTAGTTACAGCCTCTGAGGGTAGCTCTAAGCCCAGTGTCAGAGTCCCAGAGCCTAAGCCACGAAAAAAGGAGGAAAGAAACCTAACCAGTCTCCTGCCAGGAATAAGAAAAGCAAAATCTCCGAGGCAGGAGAAATACCCCCAAGGAGGGGAAGGCTGCAGCTTGCAGTAATCTGCGAATGATTGCTGGTAAAGTCCAGAGGCTTCAGGCTTGATCTGTGTTTGTTCCCAAAGAAAGCCAAGGAGGACGGTGTTAATAAAGAGAGATTTAAGTGAGAGCTGTGCTTGGAATAAAGTGGGCTACAAAAAGGTCAAATTTGATCAGTTGGAGCAGATTACCGGGGCTTTAAAAGGTGGTGTGGAGCTGGGAGCCGGGTGTGGGACGGAGGAGAGCGCAGGATTGATTTGCGGGGTGGAGAGAAGTCAGGAAAAGTGCGTGTCAGCCCGGGAAGGAGGGAGCCGCGGGGCGCCAGGGCCCGGCCTGGGTCCAGAATCCTCCGTCTGTTCCCCAGCACCCCATCCCCGCCTCCTCCTCTCCGGACTCGCCCTCAGCCGGCTCCTAGACAATGGTTTCCTTGGTCTCTGACTTGGATCCTCTGAAAAACTGGAAAGTTTTAAGGTAGGCCTGCTTTGCTTTCTCTTGCATCCTGGTTTGAGTTCATAGCCAAGGCCCTGCTCCCGCCCCACACCTGTGCAGAAGTGGTTGGGGTTGCTTGAAATGCACCTTGTGGGGTTCAGGGATGCGCAGATCTGCTAGTGGGAAGACTGTTCGGAGGCAGAGGTGTAAGGAGTGGCCTGTGAACGTGAGGTCCTCCAATTTCACCCCAGGGGGGAGGTCGGGAAGCCTTGGCAATGAGGGAGGACAGTCTTATTTAAATGACACCAGCTGACTCGCTGGAAGGAATCCTCATATTGAATTTTTGGGCTTCAGGGGGGCATTAAAGGTGTGAGGTGGAATGTGGTCAACTTTCTGGGACTTCAGATAGAAGAGCGAAATTTGGCCAGGTGCGGAGGCTCACATCTATAATCCCGCACTTTGGGACGCCAAGGTGGATGGATCCCTTTGAGGTCAGGAGTTCGAGACCAGCCTGGCCAACATGGCAAAACCACCCCTGTCTCTACTAAAAATACAGAAATTAGCCAGGTGTGGTGGTGGGTGCCTGTAGTCCCTGCTACTTGGGAGGCTGAGTCAGAAAAATCGCTTAAACTTAGGAGGTGGAGGTTGCAGTGAGCAGAGATCACACCAGTGCACTCCAGCCTGTGCAACAGAGTAAGAATCCATCTCAAAAAATTTAAAAAAAGAGTAAAGAAAGGAAAAGCGAACTTTTCCAGAAAGCCTTATTAGGGCCCTTGAAGGGTCAAGGGAAACTTGGTTTCCTCCTCTGACCTCTCCCCTACCCCCACCCCCACCCCCAGGCCTCAGCTTATGGTGAAACTGAATGGGCAGAATGTATGACATAAAGTCTTTCTCTGAATGCTCCTAAAAAAGTGCACTCTGACCTCCTCATCTCTCAGAGGCCCAGAAAAATTAGAACACAAGGAGCTAGAAAGGGCAGAGTTCATGCATCCTGTCTAAGCTGACTACCTTGGCAGAGTTAATTCTTGGGCTTCACTGACTGTAAATGGTATTTCCTAGCAAATGCGTTTTTGGCAATTTTTGAAATATGAAAATGTTCAATTGAGGGATTTTTGTTAAAAGTGGTTCTGCACAGTGTCATGTCTTCCAAATACCTTCCCCAAAACATGGCTTCATAGGAGCTAGACCAGAACCCAAACAGGAAATACAAATGAGGAGAAATGTGCGGACGTTACTGGAACTTCTTTTTCCTGACATTTGTGTTGTATTAATTTGCTAAGTTTTTATTTCCTATTCATGACTCTGTCTTCATGTTTGTCTGATTTTGTTATTTTTAAGAACAAGATTATAGAAAAGAGCAAATTTAAAAATTGCCAATACCCATCTTAATTATTTTCTTTTTAAAAAGTACTGCATGTCATATTCTAGAACTTTCCACGGATGCTTTTTGCACATCAGGTAGTATGTGCTATTTTATAATCTGCTGTTTCCAGCTAACATATCAAACGTGTTTTCATGTTTCTGCCTAACTTTCATAACCGCCATTTTAATGGCTAAATAAAGCACCGTAATATTAATGTACATTTTTTTTTTGAGATGCAGTTTCACTCTTGTTGCCCAGGCTGGAGTGCAGTGGCATGATCTCTGCTCACTGCAACCTCCACCTCCCGGGTTCAAGCAATTCTTCTGCCTCAGCCTCCCAGATAGCTGGGATTACAGGTGCCTACCACCATACCTGGCTAATTTTTTCTATTTTTAGTAGAGACAGAGTTTCACCATGTTTCCCAGACTGGTCTCGAACTCCTGACCTCAGGTGATACACCCTCTTTGTTGAAAATTTAGATTGTTTCCACTCCTTAATTTGTACTAACAACAACATAATGAACATCTTTGTGTACCTGGCTTTTTACTTTCGTTAAATAATTACCAGGATTTCTTGATGAAAGCTACATTTTCATGAGTCCTTCAGTGATTTTTTTTCTGTTGCATGTTTAAACTTTATTTTTAACTATCGAAAAATGGTAAAGTGCTTCTTTAAATGTTCTTAGGATACATCTATTAGAATAAATGATGCTTTCCTTTTTTTTTAAACTGGATTACTAACCTGTCTCTAAAACTGAAACACTTCCTACAAGTGCTTTCAAACAATTTTTCTCAGGCGATTAACTTACTATTATTACATCAGTGGATAAGGCAGGCTGTAGCTCTAAGAATGTATATGACTACGGTTATAGATTTTGAAACATGTATCGCCCCCAAAGGCATTTTTAGATAATGATCTCAAGTCTTAACCCGTTTTTAAAAAAAAAACAGTGAGAATGTTGTTTTTCCCCTAAACATGCCCCAAATTTAAGTGAAGCTTAGTTTTGCTAGAGTAAGTGAAGTTTCAGAAACTTGGACTGGCAAGACCTGGGAAAGAGAAACATTTTTACATTGACTCCTTTGGCTACACCAAGTTCATTCTGTCCACACCTCTTCTTGGCAAGCATTATTCCACTGGCTTTTTAACTGTGTGTAATCCTTTTCTGAGGTCAGGAACCATAAAGGGATAGAGTTTATAAATTGCATTTTAAATTCCTTAATTGTTTACAACAAGGCATCCTTTTGGCTAATTTTGCTTCATTTAACGGTTTACTTGCCACCAATAAGTCTCTGCCTATAATATGTGGAAGAAGCAAAGATAAAACACAGCCTGATAAATGGGTGATCTAGCAGGAGAATGAGGTGTGTACTCTAACGCCACATAGCACGGTTGTTAGCAGGGTTGTCTGTGATCTGAGTTATGTCAATAAAATGCTTTAGAAATCCAGAGAATGGCGTGAGAGGCCCCATTCTGGTAAAGAGAAAGAGCAGTTACTGTCCTCATCTGATTAACAAATGAGTAGAACATTTGATATGTAAAGCATATTACAAGGCAAAAAGGCCTTTAAACCCACGTAACCTGGAAGATCCTCATGTGTTTGGTCCAGGAGCTCAGTCTAGAGTTCTGCCAAACCTGTTGCTCCTAAAAAGTCATCAAAAGGCACAATTTTAAAACCTGCTTATGCCACAATATAGTGTTTTAGGAGATGATCTGTTTGCAGTGCACAATTTCAGGTTATAAGCCTTTCTCAAGAACTGTCTATTTGAAATCGCTCCATCCTTGTTCCATTTTGTTACATGGAGAAACCAGGGGTGGTCGTAGTGCTACTGCCTGTGTTTTAATGACTGTCTACCCCAAGGGACATAAAAGAAACCTAATTTTCACCAAAAGACATGCCAATAATTTTCAACATTCTCCCATTTGACTCCTCGGAAAGTACAAACACTCCAGCTGCATTCAAAGAAAAAAATTCAAAAGCTAAATAAAGTATTCTTGGTACACAGAAGAAAAAAGTTGACACTGTATTAGACCTATGATTAAAAGAATAAAATAGGCTGGGCACAGTGGCTGACACCTTAATCCCAGCACTTTGGGACACCGAGGCAGGCGGATCATGAGGTCAAGAGATCGAGACCATCCGGGCCGACATGGTGAAACCCTGTCCCTACTAAAAATACAAAAATTAGCTGGGTGTGGTGCCACGCACCTGTAGTCCCAGCTACTCAGGAGGCTGAGGCAGGAGAATTGCTTGAACCTGGGAGGCAGAGGTTGCAGTGAGCTGAGATCGTGCCACTGCACTCCAGCCTGGGTGACAGAGCGAGACTCTGTCTCAAACAAACAAACAAAAAAAGAATAAAATAAACTTGAACATATGCTGAGTGCAACAAGATGAGATGTTTATAGATAAGACTTGAGAGAAAAAAAAGTTGACAGGAGAATTAAGCAGGGAATGGGACCCAGAATATCTGGTGTCTCCTTTACCCATGCATAAGCCCTAAGTCACCTCTGGGGAAGGATTAAAAACCCCAAATCAAGTTTAACTCTCCCATTTAGAGACAAGGGAATAGATGAATTGACTAAAGGAAGTCATAGAACTCATTAGCACTGCAAGCTGTTGCCAATTCCTCTTCCAACTCCATCCTCTCTCCTGAGGAATGTCCTTCCCCACCTCCACTTCTGTCTCCCTTTCTCCTTCAGCTTTCAGACAGCTCAGTCCAATTGCATGCCTTAAAGATGTCAAAAGCTCAACAGGTTATAAACTCTATCTATAATGTCCCCCCAAGAACTCACTGGTTTCCAGCTCTAGTAGGTTCATGAGTCACAGTGATCTAGCCAGGTACTCAAACTGGAAAGTTAGGCAGTCTCCCTAATCCCCCATTTTCCGTCTTAATTTATATCCAAACTATTGCCAGCTCCTACTGAGTTTGACTCCTAAGCACCTAGTGACTCTGTCCACTTTTTTCCACCTTCCATTGATAACATCTCATTTTGCTAAGAATGCTACCTCCTAACAAGACTCCCTGCTTCACTCTTGCTCTCTTAAACAATTTTGCACATAGAGGAATGAAAGCATTACAAACGCCATAAATCAGATTCTGTGACTTCCCTACTAAAACTTGCCCTTTACTCTTAGAGTCAAAGCCAGTATCCTTATTTTAACCTGCAAGGCCCCATCTGGCCTGACCCTTATGAACCTCTCTGCCTAAATCTCCTCCCTCTCTCCCCACAGCTCACATTGCTCCAGCCCTGCTGGTCTTTCTCTTTCTCAGTTATGCAGCCAGGCTATTTTGGCTTGATTTTCATTAGCTACTCCCTCTCCCTGCCTGGCAATCTTTCCTTAGCTATTGGCAGGGTAGAGGCTGCTCCTCATTCAAGCCTTAGCTCCCATGTCATCTCCTCAGTTAGCCCTTCCCTGACCTCCCAGTTTAAAGCCAAAAGTCAACCTCTAGCACATCTCCCTGATGGACTGAATCATAGGCAACAGCCAGTACTCAACTATATTGACTTATAAAAATGTTCACTTCGTATGGTTCAGCTAATATTCTCATCACAGCATTGCCAGTATCTGCCATCTGCATATGTATTTGTTTACTGATTATCTCTCTCCCCTATTAGAATGCACTGTTTGTGTATTTAACTGTTACATACCCAATATCTAAAAGATTTCCTAGCACACGACAATGAATGAATGAATGAATGAGTGAAGGAGTCACTCTTTGTCTCTCTTATCCTACTTTATACTCACTCCATGGGGCCAGGGGCTTTGTATATGTCATTCACATCCCACCCCTAGTATTTAGCACTGTGATATTGTGTTATGTGGAATGAATGAATTGACTGATGAATTAATGACTCCTAACACCTAGTTGAGTAATTCTATCTTCAGTTGCTTTTTTCTGTGCCAATCAGAAAAGTGTCTAATATGGTAATGTAGAAAATTCTAAAATCCTCTCTGAGAATCTGATCTATATGTAGTGTTGAGGTGGAATTTATTCTTTCTAAACAAGAGAATGATCTGGAACAGATGTTGACAAATTTCTTCATCAAGGGCCAGATGATGAATATTTCAGGTTTTGCTGACCATACAGTTTCTGTCACAACTATACAACTTTGCTATGTTAGCCTGAGAGCAGCCATAGATGGTATGTAAACAGCTTGGGTGTGACCTAATAAAACTTTATTTAAACAGATTGTCTTTAAACACTGGGCTGGATATGGCCCAGGGCCCATAGTCTAACTTGGTCCATGATCTAGACTAATGATCTGACTAGCAGGAAAATAGAAGTGGCTTTGACAGATAGTTGGAGGGATGCTTTCAAATCTCATACGACAAGGCAAATATCAAAAACTAGTCTTGTTATTAGGAAAAAACTTCAGAGGAGCCCTGGTGATATTTCAAAGGTCAGAGATGTTTTAGGTTATGAGCACTTGATCTCACAAAGATGATGAATGTCTGGAGGAAATGTATGGTTTACTGCATCCCTTAAATGTTTGAATGAGCCTTAAAGCTGTAACGAACTACACTTTTGCGTGTTCCCTTATGGAGTGTGTGAGAACCTCCCATTAATGAAAACAGCACACGTTGATGGGAAACATAGAACAGACCCCGAAATGTTGTAAGTCACTGCTTGGCCTTGATGCTTTCTTTTTCATTTCTGTCTCTGGCTCATTTAGTGTACATTTCTCTTTCACATGCCGGGAAGTCTCCTAAGATGCATCCCAGATTCACAGAGGAGAGCACGCTGTGTAAGTTTGGAGGAATGTCATGTGTGGATACCCTTCGGTTCATGTCACATGACATCTTAAAGATGTATAGAGCCAGAAAAGGTTGCATGGATGCTCTGCTTGTATTCCTTGTGAGCAGGCTGGCCATCTGAAGATCAGGAATTTATATTCTTAGATGATAATATACAAGAATTATCAGTGCTTTCTACATGCCATGCCTTATGCTAAGTGCTTTTCATGTAATGTCTCATTTTATCTTTGTAATAGCCCTGTGAAGTAGGTAGTGGTTCTTTTGCTCTTATTTAGAAGGAAGTGATACTTGTAAAGTTCCGGTCACTCATCCAAACACACACATACAACAGGTGTGGAGCCCCAGTGTGGACTTGGGTATTGCTAACCCTGAGCTAGAGCAATTAAACAGTGACACCACATACTTTTCTGATCTAGTTACTACTTTTTCTTGATAAATTGACAAGCATGGCAAAGTGTGTTGTCTTTACTACACCTCAGAGAGGAAAATTTTGCACCACGTAATTTTTCCTTTTCCCTTAGGAATATTTGAAGAATCATGACTCAGTTACGACTCAGTACTTTTAAAAATTTTTTGCAGAGCTGCAGGAAGAGGTGTTGGCTGGAATGCATTGTCAATTCTTTTGGCAGCCTGGAGCTTTACGAGGCGGGCACTTGAAGGGGAATGGAATGGGATCACCCTAGGGATGTGGCCTTGAGCTGTTAGAAACTATGTCAGTGTTTGTTCAAGTCTTTTAATGAGGGGGGGAGACGGGTGGATGAAATCATTTTTGTTGAGTTTGTAAGTTTTATAGCTCAAGGTGGAGGCCTAGTTGAGAAGAGCTCAGAGGAGCCCGGCTGGAGTTTGATCATAGAGAGAGTCTTTAGGAGTCCTTTTCTTGCTCCAGGAAAAAAGAGACAGTGTACATTGCTTTGAACACTCTAAGTCCATTTTCCATTTGATCACCTTGTGTTCATTAAGGACCAGCTAAACCATCTGTTGAGACTCGGTAGTCGAGGACATCTGCTAGATGGGGGAGCAATCAGGCATTTAATGAGGGGCCTTTCTATGGAAACAAAAAGAAAAATGAAAAGTAATGGTTGGAGCTGACTGTAAACTCAGTGTCTGAGGCCAGAGGACAGTCAGTTGAGAAGATCTCTGGACACTGAGCTCTAAGCATCTTTAGATGGTGAAGTGAGAAGGGCAATGGCAGTCAGACAGATTTCCTGGTTTACGGTTTGGATTTTTGTCATCATGGTGTAGACATTAATGTCACCACGAAGGGTATTTCCTGGAGCAGAGCATGGGAGACACAGGGGTTCCAGTGTTCTTTTTTTTTTTTTTTCTTTTGAGATGGAGTCTCACTCTGTAGCCAGGCTGGAGTGCAGTGGCGTGATCTTGGTTCACTGCAACCTCTTACTCCCTGGTTCAAGCGATTCTCCTGCCTCAGCCTCCTGAGTAGCTGGGATTACAGGCACGTCCCACCACACCCAGCTAATTTCTGTATTTTTAGTAGAGACAGGGCTTCACCACGTTGGCCAGGATGGTCTCGATCTCTCTGACCTTGTGATCTGCCTGCCTTGGCCTCCCAAAGTCCTGGGATTACAGGCATGAGCCACTGCACCCAGCCTCCAGTGGACTTTCTGAGTGGCCCTGGTAGCAGCAGCTCTGGGTGTAATGGTTGCTCCTACATGATTTATTGTGGTAATGACTTTCTGGACATGTAGATCCACTTGTCTGGCTTCAGTGTGCAGGACTGTATCAGATCATGGAGCCAAATAGCAGCTATAAGACAACACTGAGTCACAATAAGGATCTTGGCCATCAGGTTTCAGTTCTCATTGATGACAAGTCAGGTGGAAGGGAGAAAAAGTGAAAACGTTAACTTTGGAGAGTTACAGTCACCCACTCAAGAAAACTAGAAGAGTATTTGGTAAGGGGTGACCATATGTGTAAGATGGAAGGATCCAGTCCGGTTTTACAGGTAAATAATATAAACTCCCCAAAACAAGGAACAGGACTAGAATCTGATCACCCACAAGGATGTGTTGCAGTTTTCTATTGAAACATAAGATTGTTGTCCACGGTTACCCCCCTTTTTGATCAAAGATAAACTAATACTATTCTTGTTTATAAAATGTTTCTTGTCTCATTAAACTGGGCCAGATGATATTTATATAAGTGCAGCAAAAATAATAATTGAGCACATAGACCTTTTTAAGTTTGCTTTGCTAGAAAATAAAGAATCTCCTATTGGACTTTCAAAAGCCTCTGCTTTTCTAGCAAGCCAAGCCAGGAACTTGCCATCAGACTTCACCTTCAATACCTGTAGCTTTGGGTAAATTCCTTTTCTTTTGAGGTCCCCAAAATATTTTAATGTTCTTAGGCTTGCCAGGACATGACCATTCTTACTCACCTATACATCTGCAAATCCTGTAAGCCAGGTATCAGCCTAGTTCTTCCAAGAGGGATTTGTATACCTTCACTCCGTAAAGTCAACCTTGGATCCTTAAATATGTCTGGTCATATCTGATTTTATGTGTCATTCTCAAATAGGGCATTCCATTCAAAGCCTTGAACATATAAACCAATGTTTCCAATTATGTTCTATTATAAGGGAGACAGATTTTTTTTTGCACCTGTGCAAATAACTATTGTCATGCAAATAAGAATACCCAAGAACAAATTCTGAATTCTGAAGAGATCAGGTAGGGAGAAAAAGATAAATGTTTCTATTTTGTTTACAAAAGTATAATTTAGTAGATTTTTTGGATGACAGATAGCTTAAGACGAAAGGAAAAGGAATTTTCTGCTATCCAGAAAATAGAGTATTAAAGAGCCAGCAATATTCCAAACAAAAGCCATAAAACATAATAATCATTCCTTATCACTTTACCAAGTCCAATATATTAAATAATTAATTTTGTTCTGCTTGATCTTGAGTTAGCAATTTTATGAAGCTGTCAGCTTCTCTGCTAGAGTTATGGAAAACCTGACTCAGTTCATTAGGATGGTATCAAGGTTATGTAAGCAATGACATCAGAATCTTGCACCCCAGAGTACCTGTCACAGACAGTTATTTCCATAGGTCTCTGAGACAGCTTCTTTTTTGTTAAAGACAAAGTTCTGTGGCTTGAGCTGTTTGCATGAGCAGAGTAAAACAGTCACTATTTCTGGATGACAAAATACTGAAGATGGCCATGGTTAAAGATCTGATGGGCATTCATTATAAAAATAACACTATCGACAAGAAAATGTGGTAGTTTCTGTGACATAAAACATGTTAAAATAATTGCTGGAATTATGACTGACGACATCACACTATTGTTGTCTAATATCAGGCAAAACAGCATTGAGATAGATCCTGGACACAAAGGGCATTGACAAATTTCTAGGAACTTCGTGTAACTTTTGAAATACCACATTTACCTGTACAAATATAACCTGGGGAAGGTTAAACATTTCTTTTTATTAAATAATGCTTTTCATGAATTTCCACCTCGCAAGTAAATTCAATGATTTTAACATCTCTTTTTTTAACCAGGTGAAAGAACAAACCCTTTGAGATTTTTCAAAGGCCCTTGGGAAATCTCAAAGTCAGTTTGGTATCATGAAGGCTTCATTTGGGTTTGATTTTAGGAAGGCAAAGCTGTCAAATATGTCAAAAGGTTCGATTACTTGACAAAATAGGATCACAGGTCACTGCGAAACAATCCTTAGTTAAGTATCTAACCAATGTGACAATGAAAGAATTTAAAAGTAAATACAGGAGGTAAGATCATTGTTTTAAAAACCTTAGTTCTTTTTAAAGTGAGAAGACATGGTTCTCTTAACTAATCAGAGACACGGTAAAGACAACATGAAACACAGAAAATTATTTTTATGAGGTGCAGAATCTTTCTCTCCTAGGAAGATTACTAAAAAGTAGAGAAAAACCTTCTACAGTCTCTTATCAAGAGCATACCACTCATTCAAGAAACATTCTTATTTTCAGAAAGAGAAAACCAAACCAAACTAGGTTTGAGTCCATACGCTATTGATATTGAAGCTCATTTTTAAAAATTTTATACATAAATCCATTTGATCTTAGCAAGTCTTGACATTTACTGTGAACTGAAATGTGTCTCCCCAAAATTCACATGTTGAGGCCCTAACCCCCAATGTGGTGGTATTTGGAGATGAGGCTGTGGGGAAATAATTAGGTATAGATAAGTTTATGGAAGTGAAACCAACATGACGGGATTAGTATCCTTAAAAAGAAGAGATGCCATAGCTCACTCGTGCTTGTGCATACTCTTTCTCTCTCTCTCTGCCTCCCTCTTTCTCTCTCTTTCTCTCTGTCTCTGTCTCTACCATGGAAGGGCACAGCAAGAAGGTGCTGTCTGCAAGCCAGGAAGAAAGCCCTCATTAGAACCATGCTGGGACTTTGATCTCAGACTTCTAGCTTCCAGAATTGTGAGAAAATGCACTTGTACTGTTTAAGCCACCCAGTCTATGGTATTTCATTATGGTGATCTGAGCAGACTAATCACAACATAATATTCTTTTCCTTAAACTTTCTATGACTTTCTGCATCCATTCGGGTTTCATCTTATACTTTCCATCTTTCTCATTCTGGAACAACCAGTCACTTTAGGACAAAATTTCTCTTTTCCTTAGCAGAACCTAATAATCTTCAGACACTCTATACCATACGACAATAAGTCAAAAGTATATAAACTTAAGCTAACGTTTAATAATTGATGCTTTAGTACTTACTTGAAAATTATTTAGATATTTAATGAATATCCATTATTTAATTTAGCAGACTTCTAAGTTTGCAAGTAACTGAAAAGATTTTGGAAACTCTTCTTAGGCAAACATTATGAAACAATTATTCTTGAACTGAAGTTTGTGAAAATAATGATTTAATTTGCTTCAAATCAAATTATCATTTTTATAATCTTAAATATCTAGAAAATATTAGTTTATGTGACTGGTAAACTCAAGAAAAACAAAAATTTATTCTCACGTTATATTTAATGTTGACAACTCTGAAAACATACCTTTTTTATTGAACCAACAATATTAAACTAATCTTACCAAGAATTTACTCAAATTACATAAACATTTGAGTGGGTTTCTATATTTCTGACAGTTTTAGAAAGATTTAATTTACATAAGTGCATATTTCCCTCTAAGCCAATTAGGATAGAACTCTTTTAAAGGATTTTGTAAATTAATTTGTCAATGCCATCTGGAGGGAAGGTACCTTACATACATGCATAAACACACAGATAGACATAAATAGAAACCTATGGCTTTCATTTTTAATATTAGCCATGAGTCAGGCATAAATACAATAATACAAAATACAATCGTGTACGGAAGAGTTAGTTCTCATCTTTACTCCATTTTTTTAATCCAATTTGTGTTTCTGGCAAATGGAGTAGCCAACATTCACCTGCTGAATGTGAGAGCTAAAATTTACCACTAATATTTGTGGAGGAGGCCTTTAAGATTTTTTTACCTTGATAGATCATCTCATGGGGGAGGTGAACTAAATATCTGTTTCCAATTAGTTTTTCTTTGCAGCCTCAGGTAGCTGCTTTTGGGATCCCTAAGTCCCTTAAGCATCCCCCAATGGGGGCAGCTGGCCTCAGGTTCCAGTAACTGTCAGTAATTGAGTGGCTGGAATGGGAAGGGAAGGGTCCAGCAGAGGGAAGAGAGAAGAGGAAGAGCCAGGGGCGGCTCTAAGGGGCTCATATCAAAGAATGCAGGGGAGTGGAAGGGAAGATGGAGACCGGCAGAAGGAGGAAGGAGGTAACGGAAGGGAGAGGTCTTAGAGGAGCCAGTTTAGGGAGACCCTGTTCCCAAAGAAACCACTAAAGTTCCCAATCATCGTTCATCAAGTCATGCCAACAAGAAGTGGGTAGAGTGAGTGCCATCGTGGTGGAGCTTCCAGTCAGCAGGAGTTCAAAAAGGGGCTTTCAGATGGCTGAGAAGTTCCTATGGGATGGGCAGGAAGAAAAATAATTTCCAACTCAGGCATCAGGGAATGAATCCCCACTCAGAATAAGGATCCAGGAAGAAACACTTGCAACCCAGAAGGTCCCCTTTGAAAGAAGCCTGGGACTCTCTTCCAGCTTCAGAGAGTATGCGCAGAGCCATCAGTATCAAAATGTCTCCTCGCTGTGCTCCTACAGACATGTGTTCGGAGCCTTGGATCAGGAGAGTCAGACTCACGACCAAAGACCCAGAGGACACAAAAGTCTCTGTGCAGGCAGAGTTGTCCTGTTCAAGGATCTCATGGCAGCAGATCCAGATCTGAGTCACAGCAGCAGATAATGGTCAAATATAAAGTTTTCTTTGTTTATAAATTAAGTGGTCAGGACAGATTTTAATTACCAATAAATTATTGCAGTAGGGATGCACTTCCAGCATCAACAGGGCTCAGCTTTATAGAGATGACCAGGCTTTTTAAAGGGAGAATGGGGTGGAGGGCCAGAAAGCAGGAGTGCCATAGAGTCAGGAAGTGAAAAATTGCAAATGTGGGCAATGTGATTAGGCAACTGGGTGTGTACACTGCCACCTGTAGATGTTAGGACTCAGTTCTCCCACAGAGATGGGGGGAGAGGGGCCCTGGTCTTCCTCGTGGTTACATTGTAAAGAAACAGCTTTCAGGTTCTTCAGAAAGACCCTCCTGAGTTGCAGGGGGTACATGCACATCTCAAAGGGATGGAGGAAGGGATCACCATTATAAGCCCTATGTATTCAATGACCTAAGAAAGGGAGGGCAGGGGCCTGTGTCAGGTATTGGCTGGAACACAGGGTCAATTCTTTTGGCATCCTGGAGCCTTCTGAGGCAGACACTTTAAGGGGAATGGAATCACCCTGGGGATGTGGCCTTGAGCTGTTAGAAACTACGTCTTCAAATGTGTCATGGGGGACTGATGAAATCATTTGTGTTGAGTCTGTGGTTTTTATAGCTCAAGGTGGAGGCCTAGTTGAGAAGAGGGCTGCAAGGAGTTTGGTCCCAGAGAGAGTGTTGTTAGGAAAGAGAAAATCACCATGTGCCCCTCATCTCCCCTCCTCTCCCCAAATAATGTATTTTGGCTAAAAGTCCCAGAATCCTAGGATCCTATGCTGTCCAGTCCACAGTAAAGATAATAATCCACATGCAGGGTCCTGTCTGTTCTCATGCAGAGCTGCTGTATTTCCCACCTATATTAGTCCATTTTCATGTTGCTGACCAAGACATACCCGAGAGTGGGTGAGTTATAAAGAAAAATAGGTTTAATGAACTCACAGTTCCATGTGGCTGGGAAGGCCTCACAATCATGGCAGAAGGCAAAAGGCATGTCTTACATGGTGGCAAACGAGAGAATAAAGCCAAGCAAAAGGGGAAACCCCTTATCAAACCATCAGATCTTGTGAGACTTATTCACTACCATGAGAACGGTATGGGTGAAACTGCCCCCATGATTCAATTATCTCCCACTGAGTCCTTCCCACAACATGTGGAAATTATGGAAGCTACAATTGAAGATGAGATTTGGGTGGGGACACAGCCAAACCATATCACCACCACTCTCGACTTTAGTGCAACAGAGTTAGAGGGCACCTGAGAGATCAATTTCTTGATGATCTCTTCATGTCTATGTAAAAATAAAAGTCTCCGTTCCCCAAACACCATATTATTTAGGAGGATAGGGACTGTCTGTTCAGCACTGTGTCCTCAGCAGTGCCTGGTCCTGTATGCAGGACCCAGGTTTCATGCTTTCTAATTTCACCTGAGAACTTCTCACTAAGCCCCCTCCCTGGCTGTCCACCCTCAGGTGGAAGTAAGATTTTCTTCTTCTGAATGTTCATAACACTGAATCTAAACCTCAGATCTGCAAATGCATATTTTCTACTTTGTAGTGTTTGTGTAGTAATTCCATTAATAGGGTGTCAATGTCTGGAAGATAGGCAGGGTCAATGTCTGATTCAATCTGGTGTCCTCCTGTATCCCTTATATCATCAGGCACTGCGTTTATCTGAGTGTTTGGATGGAAACCCACATATTCCTCATTTCTACTATGAGATATTGAACCAGGATTGCCCAACTATAAAATTGTATGATCGATGTAAGATAGAACAGAGAAGTACCTTCCCATCGGATCCCGAATCCCACCTCTGAGTGATACCATGAATCCATCTCCTATACTGCCCAGTTTTTCTCACAGCACAGCAATTCTCTTTATATTGATCCTCATTTTCTTTCAAGGCTCTTTTATTCCCACTCCTTCCGTAGAGCTGATGGACGAAACTACAGATCTGTGTTCAGATGTGCTGTCTCTGAGCTGGAGCTCTAATGTAAATCAGCTGTTCAGGGATGAGTTCTGCTGACAGAGACTGACATTAGCGATTTTATGACTGGTCCTGCAGGGCTGAAGATTGCAATCCATCCAGGGTGCAGGTGTTTCTGTTAACCATGCTGTAGAACTCCATTTTGATTTTGTTTTGTGCTAGTTTTTCATTCTTATAAAGATACAAATGTCCAAGTCAGAAAGAATTGTTACAGAGCTGTGGAAATGGCAGTTTTATACATTTGATCATATTTCCTGGTGGGTAAAGTGAAAGATTTTGTGAACTGGGAAGATGTGGCCCTCACTGAAGTTGGTTATTTGTAAATGGCATGTAATGCCGGCTCTGAGACTTCGCATGTGTCCTTCCTTGGCTGCCATTATTATTGTCGTTATTGAACATAACATACATTATCCAGTTCTCCAAACCTGGGATGCTTTTCCCCTTCTCCATGAAAGCACATGGTCTCTATTTAAAAGGTTTATTCCAGCAAAACTTCCTTTAAACTCTATTTAAGCAGTTTATTCCAAATGGCTGTATTCCAATAAAACTTACAGTTTTACAAAAACAGGTGTTGGGCTGGATTTGGGCCATGGGCCGTGGTTTGCTAACTCCATTGAGTTTTAGAACCTTTGAGATCCACGATAACTTGGACAGCAACAGGGAGACTGAACTACAAGAAGCAGCAAGAGAGAATCTGCTTCCCCCAGTACTGTGTGCTGAGCTAAGCTGTCCTGGGCTTTAGCTCCTGGGAAAAAGAGTGTACAAGAGATGAGAGAGAGAGAGCTGGGTTTGTTCAGACCCAGGATCTCCT
Organism: Homo sapiens; assembly: GCF_000001405.40. NCBI lineage: Eukaryota > Metazoa > Chordata > Mammalia > Primates > Hominidae > Homo > Homo sapiens. Next base: position 10,814,016 of record NC_000010.11, read on the forward strand.
TTCACTTTGGATATATTGAGGCCAAACAACAGTGCACACTTTGTCTTTTAAGGAAGGCTCAGCACCTCTACTCTCTAGCAAATATACATTTCAATGACCTGGAGCCACATCCTTCCATAGCAGGCACTTATCCCTTTGGGGAAGGAGGACAGATCATGAAATGGGAACAAGAGAAGGAAGAAAGGGAAAGAAGAGTCCTAAAAAAAAAAAAAAAAAAAAAAAAAAGCTGCTCTAAAGGGACTGTAGGACTCTGGGAAGAAAGGCAGCTGGGATCATTTATTGCCCAAAAGAGCCAGAAGATGACTTCAGAAGAAAGAGAACTTGACTCTCTTTGTCTTGGTCTGTATCCATGATTGCTGTCTTCATCGCCACAAAATCTAACCTCTTCTTTTGGATGTGGCCTCCCACATTTTATTTTTAAACAAAAATAAAGTTCGCTCATGGCTTGGATGCTAGATTGAATGCATGTATGATCAGGCCTTCGGGCAACCACAGCAGCGCCGTAGTATCCCAGAGAAGCCCACATTTCCCACTTCCAACACGTGCCTCTTGGGCCCCTCCATGACAGGCCATGCATCTCTATCACTAGAGAATGAGAACACTGTTTTTGAAGAGATTTAAGATTTTGAGCTGGCCCTGGGCCAAATGAGGTAACATGGCCCTCCAGTTTCCTCCTGTAGGGAGGCTCTTCAGAGAGCTCAATCAGTTACAGCTTACCTTGAGGTTAAATCCAGGTAATATGATGTCAGGGGATTTGTATTTTAGGAACTATCTCCAATTATGCAACATGAGATGGGAGGTGGGAACAGAAGAACTCAGGAATTCGAATTTTGGTGAGGCTTTCAGTATGCCTGAAATCACACACCATAGGTTCCGTCTAGAGCACCTAGGGCATGAAGACCTGACTTGGATTGAGTTCCTTCCTGGTTAGGATAGCTCTCTCCCCTCTTCCTTAATAAATTACCACTTCACAATCAATTGCCCTTCAATTACTAAATTGAAAGTGTCAGTCTGCCTTGTCAAAGAGTGAGAATTATAGAAGAATGGGGCTTTGAGAAGATCACTGGAGAGGGAAGCAGTTTGAGGCAGAATTTATCTTAAAGACTTTAATTGCATGTATGACTTCTTCCTGGTGGGTGTAAAACCCTCTGGAGCCCCTGCCCTGGCCCAGATTCTAATCAGGTTTTCTCCCAGGGTGTCACTGATGTGCTCCTCTTTGCCCCTCTCTCCCCTTGTACAGCAAGAGGTAGATTTTACCTTTGGGCAACTGGCCTTGTGCTGATGGTGGCAGAAAAGGACAATTTGCTCAATTAATATTTCTGCAGGAAAGGAGGAAATGGTCATTATTTATATCATTGAAAGAGGGGAGTGTTTGTTTGAGAAAAACAGCTCCTGAGAACTTGGGTTTTGTTTCCTAAAAACTAGTAACTAGGTTAGAGAATATAGAGAATAAAACCTGTTTGCCTGGTTCCCAGACTAGCCCTGTTCTGCTGTCTTCCCTCATTACAGAAGACAGGCAGCAAATGTGGTTTTCCATTTATTGAACATATCTTGGGCAAAGTCTTTCTAATGAAACTAGTTTGTTGTATTTTGGAATCCTTGTTTTAGGCTCTGTCTGCAATCAAGCAGCTCTCTCCAGAGGATAAAGCTATATTAAGCTTTAATTCTCTAGTTAATTTTTTTTTGGTAGCCATGAAATTAGCTTCCTTGTCTTTTGCATACGTTCTGTGGATCACCATTCAGTAAATGAGCAGACCCAGAACACCCTCAACCAGCCTGTTAGTTAGATGGGGAACAGAGCTAAACATTTTGCATATAAACTTCAAACACCATAGAGAAAGTGAGAGTAAGTCCTTGACTCTATATTTCATAGCTTGGGGTTTGGGTTGTTTTTTTTTTTTTTTGCCCCATAAATTGGCCTAAATCCCTTTTGATCATCGTTTCTTATTTTTTGGCAGACGATGTTTTATCTTCGTGAAAACAGTGAATGTTTTTTGACTTGTGGTAACACCATCCTCCTACATAGACCTTTTACTTTTATTGACCCCTGCAATTGTATTTGGTCTAAACTTTAATCTCCAGCCTGTAACATAAAAGTATAAATCACATCTTGAGACCATAAGTTTCTATATTTGTTGTTGGTAAGCACAGAAGATTTTAGTAAAGACAGTTCAGACAAGAGACAAATAAGCCAGTCCTGGAAAGTGGCTGAAGAGGCCCTGTGTTTCATAAATCCATTGATTTACATTCTTATTTCTCTTTATATCTGATTTTTAAAAAAATAATCAAAGGCACATTCAGGTAATTTTGTGTTATAGGGTGACTCTAGGAGCTGGCTTCTGCTTCTGACTTCAGATAAACCTCTGTTTAAAAAAGTATTTGCTGAAAATCTAACCTACCTGATTACAGCAATCAAGATGTTTCAAGTATATTGAGTGTATTTTGCTAATGCACAGTTTAATTGTGACACTCTCTGTGTCCCTTTTCCTATAATTATTTTTATCTGTATTATGCACATACTGAATAGCCATAGAGCTGTAAGAAGAAAGAGGAATACGTGGAAAATTAAATGTCCAGTTAACTGGAGACATGCTTCTGTGCAGATATGGAAAACAAGTCATATCTTAAAAATGCAATCCATTCTTCAGATGGGCCTTGGATAAACAAACTTAGTATTACTCAAGCTAATCATATGGTACTAATTTGCTTCCTTGCTTTGCCATTAAATTCTCCACAGGTGATTCCATGTAACGATTTGGTTTAGTATGGTCCAGGTTCAGGTAATGGATTAAAGTTAAGCAGATACTCTTTTAAAAAGACAGCTTGTAGCCATAGGCTGTACTGGAGTCTTCAACATGAAAACCTCTTGTATATGAAAGATAAAATATGCAAATATGCACTACTCTGGCCCTTCCTTAAGAAAGAAAATTACTGAAAGTTGGAAAAGAAAATTGGGAACCTATAGGTCAGATAAGGTGGTGTCAGCAATTCCAACAACTGACTTGGAAGCTGAGCCTGGAAGTTTCCAGATGGTACAGAACCAACATGGCGGGCAGTGGACGGTGGGAGAGTGTGCAAAGAGGACTGATGTTTTACATGGAATCCAAGTGAGAAGAAAAGGAATAGACACATCTGTCTGTGTTAGGCTAAGTTTAGGGCATTAACATGAGGGTTTTTTTCCTTTTTTTAATTTTTGTGGGTACATAGTGGGTGTACATATTTATGAGGTACATGAGATGTTTTGATACAGGCATGCAATGTGTAATCACATCCCCTCAAACATTTATCCTTTGAGTTACAAACAAGCCAATAGCACTCTTTAAATTATTTTAAAACGTACAATTAAGTTATTGTTGACTATAGTCATTCCCACTGTGCTACCAAATAGTAGGTCTTATTCATTCTTTCTGACTATTTTTTGGTAACATTAACCATCCCCAGCTTCCCCCAACCCCCGCATTACGCTTCCCAGCCTCTGGTAACCATCCTTCTACTCTCTATGTCCATGAGTTCAATTGTTTTGATTTTTAGATCCCACCAGTAAGTGAGAATATACAGTGTTTGTCTTCCTGTGCCTGGCTTACTTCATTTAACATAATGATCTCCAGTTCCATCTATGTTGTTGCAAACGACTCGATCTCATTTTTTATGGCTGAATAGTACTCCATTGTGTATACGTACCACATTTTCTTTATCCATTCATTGGCTGATGAACAGTTAGGTGGCTTCCAAATCTTAGCTATTGTAAACAGTGTTGCAACAAACATAGAAGCAATAACATCATTATGTCGTAAAGTAATAAGGTTACTGAACTTTTGCTCCCTTACTACTATTGCTTGATTTAATTTGTGTTTGAGGCCCAGTGTATAGTAAGACAGTAGACTTTTGTGCAAAATAGACCTGAATTCAAATCCAGTCTGCCACTTCATAACTGTAGGACCTTAGGTAAGTATTGAATCTCTGAGGTAGCCGACCTTACAAAGCACCTAGCACATGGTACTCACCCACCCACTCATTAAACAAACTGATGTTGCCGCTAATATCACTTGTACATAAAGCCAAATATTTCTGATCACCAAGGGTATTTCATTGGGGTCAATAAAATTGTCTAGGCAGCATCTATTCAGAAACTATATTTTGGGGCTATAATCTTTAAGAGGTACTATATGCCACTGGTTTTGTGTTAATACGCATTCACAAGGCCTCCAGGAACTCCTCTGGTGATCCACCCATCTGTTCTGCCAGGAAAAGACAGCTCTGTGGCCAGCATGAGTGTATCAGTCACATGCACCAGACTCCAAAAGCAGAGGACCCAAGCAGATCCAGCTGTCTAGCCACTGAAGTAGTAAATCCAAAAGAAAGGTTTTTCTCATTAGATGACGTTCTGCTTCCATTAGAGAAGTGATCATAGTTTCAGATCCCAGTTGTATGACCTTACTTACAGAAGCTGATAAGGAAAAAGACAGCTTCATTTCTGGGGGCCAAAGCTCTCAGCCTTCAGTGGTTCCAACAAGCAGCATTAAATATTTCCTTTTTTTTTTTTTTTTTTTTCTTGAGACAGAGTCTCACTGTCTGTCGCCCAGGCTGGAGTGCAGTGGCGCGATCTCAACTCACTGCAGCCTCCACCTCCCAGGTTCAAGTGATTCTCATGCCTCAGCCTCCTGAGTAGCTGGGATTACTGCCATCATGGGGTTATGCCATGGGATAGCTGCCATCATGCCTGGCCAATTTTTGTGTTTTTTAGTAGAGATGGGGTTTCCCCATGTTGACCAGGCTGGTCTCGACCTCCTAACCTCGAGTAATCTGCCTGCCTCGGCCTCCCAAAATGTTGGGATTACAGGCATGAGCCACCATGCCCAGACAGCGTGGCATATTTCCTTCAGAAAGTTGAATGTCTGAGCCACTCTTACCTGGGCTTCTTGGGTGTGTGTGTCCTGTGGTAGAGGTACAGTCAACTGAAACTTAATAGTATCTCACCAAGTAGACTAACCAGGAAGCACTTGGCACAGACATGGGATGAGCCCAGACTTGGGCTGATAGTGATTGCATTTACCTGGTTATTAATTCTGGGTAAATTCTTGACCTCCCTGAGTTTCTGTATTCTCATCTCTAACATGGGAATGATAGCTGTTCAGTATACCTCTCAAGGTGTTGGGTATTTGAATTATGAAACTATAAAGCATATACAAAGTTATCCTTGCTTTAATGGGGTTTTAGTTACATTTTAATTTTATTTTAATTAAAAAGATAACATTTAAGGGGAATGTGAGATACTGATGTTGATCGAAAGGGAACCTGAGTCAACTAAGGTCAGACGCAGCGCTCTGGGATAACCCTATTTGAAGAGGAAGTGCTGAAATCAGCCTAGCTTTAGAGCCAGAAACCACGAATTTTAGCATGAGTTTAGCGTGAAACTGTTTTTGCCAGGGTTACCAATGCCAAATCTTAATAACCAGATCCAGTGGCCCACTTTTAACCCTCATTGTTCTGGAACTCTCAAAGCATTAACGTTGTTGACTCACCCCTTTCTCTTTGAGAAGTTTGCTCTCATGGCTTCCACGAGACTGGAGAGAGAACATCCACTGGTTCTCTCCTGCATCTGTGCTCACTCCTCCTTCCCCTCTGCCACCTCCCCCTCTGCATACCTAGGCCTTTATCTTTGACCTTCTTTTCCTCTGCTCTCCAAGATGTCAAGCAGCTCTCCAAGAGGGCTGACTGGAGCTTGCAGAAGTGTTTTGTTTTGCTAATAGAATGTCTTAGGTTGGGTCTGATTTTTCATGCACCTTCAGTTCCCACCCATTGTCAACTGTCTCAGACTTTACAGTTTCATGGCCTCCCTTATTGTATGTTATCTGGGTGGTCCCTATGGGCATTTGAGCTTGCATCCCTTCTCTGTACCTGATACTGTTTGGCTTTGTCCCCACCAAATCTCAATTTGAATTTATCTCCCACAGTTCCCGTGTGTTGTGGGAGGGACCCAGGGGGAGGTAAATGAATCATGGGGACCTGTCTTTCCTGTGCTATTCTTGTGATAGCAAATAAGTCTCATGGAATCTGATGGGTTTATAGAGGGTTTCCGCTTTTGCTTCTTCCTCATTTTTCTCTTGCCACCACCATGTAAGAAGTGCCTTTCGCCTCCCGCCATGATTCTGAAGCCTCGCCAGCCATGTGGAACTCTAAGTCCAATTAAACCTCTTTTTGTTCTCAGTTTCGGGTACGTCTTTATCAGCAGCATTAAAATGAACTAATATTAGTACTCTTTTCTGTGGGTATCCTGTAGAAATCATTTAAAAAGGGAAAAATCTGTAACTTGTCCTGCACAGAATTCATTGCTCCAACTCTCTGCATTGTCCAACTCTTCTCAACTTTGATCAATGACTTCCACCATCTCCCCATTCTTCCATGTTAGAAACCATGGACTTATTCCATCTGTTTTTATTCAAATATTTATTGAGTATCTAATATGTGCCAGGAGGAGAATTCATTGGTGAGTATAAACAGACATGGCCCCTGCCTCATGGAATTTACTGCCTAGTCAGAAAAACAGTAGTGAGATAACACAAAATAAATACAAAATCACACCTGCACTAAGGGGTGGACAGAGAGGTACAGAGTGTTGTGAGGGTGACACACAGATCTCTCACTCAGTTAGGGAAATCAAGAAAGGAGTTCCTGAGGAATCGTTACTCACACTGAGATCAGAACACCATATGGGAGTCAACCAGCGAGGACAGGAATGAGGGTTAAGCCACATTCAAGGCCGCATTGAAGATTTTGTTCTCTCATTGTAAGAGCAATGGAAACCATTTACACCTTCAAACAGAGCACCACTAAGAGATTTGCATTTCTACAAGTTCATTCTGAGAATGGTGGAGAGGATGCATTTGAAGGGAACCAGAGTGAATCTCGGAGAGCATTCTGGGGGTTATTGTAGATATCCCGGCCAGAGATGACAGTAGTTTGGGTTGTGACAAGAGCAATGAGGCTAGAGAAAAGTGGATAGATTCAAATGATTTCAAGGAAGTCAAACATAAGGGATTGGAGTGACATTGGTTGTGGGGCTGAAGGAAAAGAAAGTGTCCAGCAAGCTGCCGAGGTTTCTGGTATGGGTGGGGGTATCATTTATGTAGATTGAATCCTGCCAGGCAACCAGGTTTGGGGTTGACTTTGGACATCTAGCGTCCAAGGTACCTCTAATATGCCAAAGAGAGAGCTTCCAGGTGACTGTCTGGCTCTGGAATTCCAAGGGAATGGCTGGAGAAATCTTTCTAGACCTCACTTGTGTAGAGTTGGCCACTGAAGGCACACGTGGATGCTGGGTGCATGTGTGTGGGCAGGCACGGAGCCGAGCCATTGGTTCTTGGCATGGAAAGGCGAGAGTACCAGGGACAGAGGTTTGAAGTCACCAGTGGGTCATTGCCTCTCCCTGCCATGTGTATTTAATTATCATTAAGTTATTTCATGTTCTCCTTGGAAGCCCCCTCCAGGGTTAAAGTCCTTCTTGTCTTCCTGCTTCCGCCTGACTTGAGGCCTCCATCATTCTACTGAAATGTCCTGAAAGCCTCTAACAGGGCTTCCTGACTCTCTCTTCCAGCTCCAGGGCTTACCACAGTTGCTGCAGGGGTTTCCTTGGTTTTTTGTTTTTTTAAGGATCATGTCTTGCTCTGTTGCCCGGGCTGGAGTGGCGCGATCATAGCTCACTGCAGCCTCAAGCTCCTGGACTCAAGCAATCCTCTTGCCTCAGCCTCCTGAATAGGTGGGAGTATGTGGTGATGCACGATGCCCAGCTAATTTTTTAAATTTTTTGTAGAAATGAGGTCTTGCTTTTTGGCCCAGGCTGGTCTCGAATTCCTGGGCTCAAGCAATCCTCCTGCCTCGGCCTCCCAAAGTGCTGGGAGCCACCATGCCCTGCTGGGGATTACTTTATTAAAAGACAAGGATGATTTTATTTCTCCCCTGCTGAGAAGCCTTGGGGCATCGGTGGCCAACAGGAAGTGGATGTTTTGAGCTGGCACACAGACTACACACAATGCAGCCACTCCTTCCCTTTCTATTCTCTCACAACCACCTGTTGATGTGGCCGCCTGGCAGGTACCACGTTGTGCTGTGGTTGCTTGTTCTAGAGCCTGTGTTTCCTCTGCAGCTGCGATGCAATATGCTCTGGACTGGATGTCACCACCTCTGCATCCCCAGAGCCTGGAAGGGGACCGGCCTACAGGGGCCATGCCGCCCTGTGACTTTAGCTGCTGTCTGGCTGTTTGTTTCTGCCTTCCTTTGCTTCTGTACAAATGTATTAATAGACAGGAAGTCATTGCCTCTTGACTATCTCAGAGGCAAATTCTGCAGTAAAGGAAGAGATTTCCTTGCCTCAAGGAGAGGAGTTACATAAACAGTGCTTAGAAGAAATAATAGTAATGCATATGCAGTCATGTGTTTATAAGTTGGCAAAGCTGCTTCACTAGTTGAGGCATGATATTATTTTTACTCAAAATAAAATGCCCTCAAAACCCCTTGGATTGCATTCCACAGATTAATTATATGTGTTCAGCCAGAAGTTCAACCTTCAGTTTGAAGAACCTCTGGGGAAAAGATGTCTTTTTAAGCGATTAACTACCTGTGCTTTTAATATATAGACCTGATTTACTGTTTCACTGTTTTTCTCCTACTGAGGTTCTTTGCTTCCTTTCTTTTCATATGTCAGAAAGAGAGAGAAAGAGGAAGGGGGAGAAGGAGAGAGAGAACATGTTTTTGAACAAGTTTCAAAACCTAGTCATTTGGAGTAAAGAAAATTGGATTATTTACTTATTATAGATTTTATATTTCTTGTCTTGCTTGGAAAGCAGCTGGCTGGCCCTAATAGCTTACCCAGGACTAATGCATTCCAAAGAATCTACTTATAAAGACCATTTCTGTACAGATCTAAAATTTTCATTTGTGAGGCAAGGTTAAATTCATTAGATAAATCCAAAATCGATTTTTTAGAAATAGTTTACTTACTTTATTAAGTGTTTAGATATATGTGGGTTATTGAGAATAAAATATTTTCTTGAAATGGAGCAAAAAAGACCCTTAAAATGGCATATGTAATTTAATTCTTCTGTAGTTTTCTTTTTTAAAAAATCACAATTAGAAAGGACTTTTTAAAGCTTTTTATGTGCATAGAAAGAAACAGAAAAAATATAGGTATGGCCTGTACCTTCTAGTGCTCTAGTTATAAATATAAATTCATAGTGAGTCTGTAGTTGAATATCACATATTAATTAAGTAAAAATTCCGTATCTGAACATTGTCTCACAGCATCTTGGTTGCTGGGTCTGCATTTGCAGGCGTTCCCAGGGTTGTGGGATGAGCTGAGAGTAAAGATCTGGGCACTCGCAGGAATGGAAATTGGGATCTGGCTGTAGGAATGGCTATTCCTTAACACACTGTGTGACCTTTCAAGTTCAAGGATTCCCTCAAACTGGCATACAATGCTTTCTAAACTGTAGGTGACAGAAATAACATAAGGGCTTTTGTTATCTGAGCTGTGTCTGTATGTGTATCTGTGTATGCATGTTTTCTTATGCACAAAAAAAAATAGAATGGCTGAATTATGTTAAATGTAAAAAACATCAACATAATTTTTATTCATTTAAAAATACTAACCTAAATGCGGCAGAGATAATCGTATTAATAAATTTTTATAAGTATGGATCTCACCTGCTATTTAATCATTGCAAGCCAAACAATGTTCTAAACATTTGACATCTATGAGCTTATTTAATTCTTGCAACGACCCTGTAAAGCAAGTATTATTCTTATACCCATTTTATATATGAGAAAAAGCATAAAACTTGTTCAAACACACCATTAATGTTTAAGTATGTATGCTTATTTCAGATCGTGTGTGTGTGTACGTGTGGATAGATGGGTAGATAGCTGAATGGATGAATGGATAGATAGATCTAGCAGATGATAGATAGATAGATAGATACATAGATACATAGATACATAGATAAATAGATGATAGATAAGAGAGAGAGAGAGAGATGTTTGTTTTACAGAAGATAGAATCAAAGCTAGCTGCAACTGAGAGATAAAAGTTCATTTTCCCTTCTAATACCATTTGGAATTTGTTTCTATTATACAACAAATTTTAGCCATTAAAGTTTAAAAATAGAAAGTCTGGTATATTAAAATCTATGCAAGAACTTTACGAAAGCCTTTTGTTTTCTCTTCCAAATAATGAGCTGTGTTGTCTGAGCCAGCCATACCCAAGAATGTTATTAATAGTGTGTGATTTTCAAAATGTATTTATTTATTTGGCCAACAAAAACAGGGTTTCCTAGAATTTTCCATTTGTCTCATCTCACAGTACCTCTCACCTCTCAGTTTTATCCACAAAACCCCCCAAATTCAAATGCATATCTGGAACCTGACATCTTCAACCAAGACTCTGCAGAGAAAAGAATAAAATGAAGTAAAACTTAAGGATGTTTGAGATCCTTGTCAAACCATCCTTCAGTGCTCATCTGAGATTTTCCCCTTTCCCTGCCCCCATGGCTCTTGGATAATAGTTATGCACATTCTCTAACTGGAGCTTTAACCCTATTAATGTTGAACCATACTTTTGGTAAGAATACAAAGTGTAAACCCACTTAAAGTGACTCCTTTCTTAAGCAATGTCAGAAATATTTAGTCTCTGTTGCTGCACAGACTGTGCGTGAATTGCAGCCAGAGGTCAGCTCAGATATGCGCTTGCACATTCAAGCTGCCAAAAAACATAAGAACATATTTAGAACAATGAATTGTTAAGTTGAAGCTTTCAATTCTCATGGAACGTTAACTCTCCAGCACTCATCGACACCTCTTTGAGCCTCTGATTAAGAAGGAAAATCAGGAAAAGAACATGGACCTGGGCCACCTAATGGAAATATTTCATCAGGCAGTGACCTTTGTGTTTGTCATTGTTTGTCCTCTCTGTTTCCCGGGGCATACTGTTTTAATAAGCGTTTGTAATTATAATCTACACAAGCGTCTTAATAGTTTCCAAAGATACTTGGAAACTCATTGGGGCTGTTTCACAATCGGAAATTGATGTTTATTTGGAGATGACTATGGTAGGATCCTGAGCTCCAGCCTCCCTGTCTGATTTGAGTGGGGTTTTGGAGGGAAGGATACCGATTTTTTTTGTTGTTGTTTTTTTGTTTTTTGTTTTTTGTGTTTTGTTTTTGAGACGGAGTCTCGCTCTGTCACCCAGGCTGGAGTGCAGTGGCGCGATCTCGACTCACTGCAAGCTCCGCCTCCCAGGTTCACACCATTCTCCTGCCTCAGCCTCCCAAGTAGCTGGCACTACAGGCGCCCGCCACCAAGCCCAGCTAATTTTTTGTATTTTTTAGTAGAGACGGGGTTTCACTGTGTTAGCCAGGCTGGTCTTGATTTCCTGACCTTGTGATCTGTCCACCTCGGCCTCCCAAAGTGCTGGGATTACAGGCATGAGCCACCGCGCCCAGCTGGATACCGATGTTTTAAGTGTCCAATGGTGATAGCAAGATTCCTGTGTTCCCATAAACTTTCATAATGGTAAAGCTAATATTTGCACATGTGCTTAAATGTGCCTGTCATTTTTGCTTTGTAGGGGTCAGTCTTTACTGGATTTGGTCAGCAGCCATCTAGGTATCCGGAGTGTTGGTGGACTTCTCTGCAAAGTAATATAGCAGCAAAGAGTCCTGAGCCTCCCAGGCTGTGTCCCCACCTGCCTAGAGGACTCTGAGTAAATTCCTTTCTCTCCCAAGGCCTCAGTTTCCTTATCTGCAAAATGATAAAATTAGACCAGATTATCTCTCAGGTCTGAAGCTGTGATTAAAAGATGCTTGTGAAGCCATGTCCAAAGATCATCTTCATGAGTGGGTTACTCAGACATAGATCTTTTAAGAATAACAATAATATTATCTATATCCAATGAGCGTATACTCTCTGCCAGGAGCTGTACTAAGACTTCAAATCTCTGATATTAATCCTTACAGCAGGACTAGGAATAGAGTCAGATAAAGGGGCTGTAGAGCCAAACAAATGCCAGAGTAATCAAACCATAAGAGGGTTGATTTCTAATATATTATTCCTATTTTCACTAAATAAATATATGCCAATATTTAACTAATAGTGATTGGATGGGGCAAAAAAAAAACAATCCTTAGTTTTTCCTGGATGCCCATTTCTCTTGGTATGGCTCTCCTTTGAATATTATTCACATTCAGCTGATGAGGAAATCAAGGATCATGGAGGCTGTGTAACCTGCTTAGTTATTCATCTAGCTGTGGTCAAGATGGACTTCAAATTCACGTATACCACTGTCCATGACTCATGGTCTCAGACACAATGGTTTATGACTAAGGTTCTGGGATTTATCAAATAAAAATACAGGACATCCAGTTAAATTTGAATTTCAGATAAGCAATAAATAATTACTGAGTGTGAGTATGTCTCAAATATTGCATGGGCTATGCTTATGCTAAAAAAAATCACTTGTCATTTGTCTGAAACTCAAATGTAATTGGGAATCCTGTATTTTTGTCTGACAATCCTGTCTATGACAGAACCCAGTGATGGAAGCTGCATCTCTGTGCTTTACTAAATACTGTGAGTGGACAGAAGGTTCTATCTCTGAGAAGTTCGAGATCCAGATGATGAAATGGAAACAATAGATACAGTGAAAATGGAAATACCCATGAGAGCACCTGAGTTGCCTTCAAAGATAAAGAATGCTTTGTTCTAGGGGCTCTGTTTTGTATTTTTGTCTCTCAGGTCCAGAATTTGCATTGCTGTTTGTGCAAAGTAATCAAGAGAAGCAGAATTATAGAATTTCCATGTAGGGAGTGGCTAGCCTTTAGAATCCAGAGATGTGGATGTCTTAATGTACAAATGAGGCCGTGAACTGTGCACAGAGTCATAACTGGTTGGGAATAAAATGCAGTGTTGTGACTTCCTTCCCTGGGATCTTTCAGGGAATGAGGTGTGAAGGAATGCTCTAGATAGGATAGAATTAATCAAGTAGGACTAAGTAATTCTGCGCCCTCCTGGAAATTTTATTGAGATCAAAGAGGGTTGTTTGTTTGTTTGTTTGTTTGTTTGTTTTGCAGGAGTTAGAAGGAAATTCTGATATTTTGACCCAGATCCCTGGGGTACTGAAGGACTTATTCTCCTGCATTTTACAAATATTTGCATATCCCCATGAGCACATGATAGCCTCCACCCCAGAGTATGCAGAAGGTAAACATCTCAATAATGGGGTACTCAGGGATTTTTGTCCGTCCTCTCTCATTTTATTAACTCTGTTAAGAATTATTTCACTGCTAACACTCTCACTTCTTCATCACGTCTCCTTCTGAGGATAAGTAGGGAAAATAGGAAAAATATAAAATGCAAATCATTTATCTTTGCAACCTGAGAAGAGACTAGTTTGGAAAAGCATCAGTGAAGAAAAAAGAGTTTAAAGACATAGCGAAACAGGATTCATCCACTGATTTTCAGTAATTGATCATATACTTCACCCTAGCTACCAAGGATGACCTAAAGTAGACTGATTATGTTAGTCCCTCCTCTAGCCATGGAAAGTATTCATATTCCCTAACGTGTCACAGGGGAGCTGATTTATGCTTGTGATTCAGGTATCCAGGATAGTTACTCCTTACAACACTTCTTAAAAGTACTTGTGTGTCGTATCTGTCATTGACTTGATTTTTCTCTATGCAAAGAATATTGTTAGGCAAAAATATGTATGTAGGAGAGAGAAAGCATGTGTGTTCCATTACAAAAATAAAATAAAGCAAAGAATGCAAATCTTGAGTGGAGAAGTGTAAGTTATAAATCTCATTTTTCACTAGAGAGTAGAATAAAACACCTTTAAAAATAAAACTAATTTGAATTAGGGAATCAATCAAAACCATAAATGAATGCAAATCAAAACTGCAAGATACCACATCATACCCGTCAGGAAGGCTAGTCTTAAAAAAAAAAAAAAAAAAAAAAAAGCAGAAAATAACAAGTTTTGGTACAGTGTTGGTGGGAATGTAAAACAGTGCAGTTGCTACAGAAAACAGTATGATGGTTTCTCAAAAAACCGCGAACAGAATTACCAGGTGATCCAGCAATTCTACTTCTGGGTATGTACCCAAAGGAATTAAAAGCTGGTTCTCAAAGAGGTGTTTGTATACCTATGTTCACAGCAGCATTATTCATGACAGCATTATTCATTCAGAGGCAACCCAAGTAGCCATCAACAGGTGAATAGATAAACAAAATGTGGTATATGCATATAATGGAATATTATTCAGCCTCAAAAAAGAGGGGAATTCTGACCCATGCTACAACACGGATGGACCTTATGAGCATTACGGTGAGTGAAAGAAGCCAGTCAATAAAAAGGCAAACACTGTATGATTCCACTTATATGAGGTGCCCAGGATAGTCAGATTCATAAAGACAGAAAGTCGAGTGGTGGCGGTCAGGCACTGTGTGTGGGGAGAATGGGGAGCTGTTTAATGGGGACAGAATTTCAGTTTGGGATGAAAAGAGTTCTGAAGATTAGTTACAAAGCAGTGTGAGTATACTTAATGATACTAAACTATGCACTTCAAATGGTTTCAATGGTCATTTTTATGTTATGTTTATTATAATTACAAAGAAATCAACAGATAAAATGGATTTGGTCACTCATTTATAAAACCAATATTTATGTTCCAAACAGTATGTTAGACCAAGAATGTCCAGGGCTAAGACTGATATTCTGAAGTACTTTAGTAAGCATTCAAAAAGTATTCATGGAAGGACAGGAATGAATTGAATAAGCAATGGATGAAGGAATGCATGATCCCACTGAAAGTGATGCTGAGCCTGGTTGGTCATTTCTGTCACAGGCATAAGGAGAAGTAGCAACACTTGCTGCAAATTGACCTTCCAAAATTGTCCACCAAAACACAAAATGAAAAACAGCATATATGTCCAAGACCAGAGTTTAGAAGAGGGGATCAAATGGAAAAGAAAAATATGTAATATAGATTTATAAGTTATATTACACAGAATAAACCCACAAAGATGATCTCCTGTGTTGAGGAATGGTTCATTGTCATCAATCTTATCTTCTCACCATAGTTATCTTGTCACTGTCCTATGGACTGATACGTATCTTGAATATTGACTTGCAAACCTGTTCTTCTTCTCCGCTTTTGATCCCTTTCTGATGAAAGTTGAAATAGGCAAACAAAGCATGATATGATACAGGAAAACAGTCACAATTATTCATACAGTAAAAACAGAATAGCTTAAAAATACTTTTGATTATAAATCAATCCATAATCCGGGAGTTAGGAACCCTGAATCTTTCTTCCAACCTAATTGTTAACAAGCTGTGGACCTTGATTGGCTATATCACCCCATATCTGAGACTCATGATCTATTATGTATCTAGACTTCAGAGAAGGGTCTTTCCAGGGATGACTTCCTGTAAATTTATGAATTTGAGATTTTGATCAATTCAATCAATTTGTGCCATAATTTTATGGAATTTGGACTTAAATATCTTTATTCCTTCCCAGATGTTATTCCAAGGGAATTGATCTGTCACATTTGTAGGCACAGCAGGCTTTGGGACATAAGGTGCTAGGTTTTTTTCTGAGTGCCTTTCTAGTAAAAGCTTTAGCATGTTCTTCTGCCTCTAGGACTCAAGCCAGCCAACATCCCCAGAGATAAGAAGCAAAACAGAGAGGATGGGGTGACTGGGACACACACAGTGGCCTGGCTGAACTGAGATGGTGACTCTCAGCTCGTCCAGAGGTTGACTTCTGTGTTACGTGGTGCATATGTTCTAATGGAGCTTCTCAATGTTTCAGGCAGTTTGCAAATTTTTGGAACTGATGTCATCTCATTTTTAACACACAACTACCTTTTCCAAAATCCAGGCAGTAGCAACCTGTAACCCCCCTGGCCAAGTTCTCTTCCCCCACCAACCCCACCACCACCATTTCTTCAATCCTCTATGATATTTACCTCTTTGCCTGCCTGGCATGAGTGTATCCGTGTAGAAAAGTTAAACTATAGGCAGTCATGGGTCAAGAGGCAGCAATTTCTGTTGAAAAGTTGTATAAGACTCCTCTTTTGAAAATGCCTGGCTGATGTACTGTAATGAAAGTTTCCCCACTTAGATATCTATAAGCAATTGTTTAGGCTGTGAAAAGATTTCCAAACGGCAATACAAACTGTGAGCTATTGAATGCCATGGAGTTCCTTTAAAAAAAAAAAAAAAAAAGCCGACAGAAGGATACTGTAGAATTACAGTAATAATTCAAACAGTATTTATAGCAGACTGTTAGAATCTGAGTTGCAATGTAATCATAGCTATTTTATAGCAAGTCTTTACCTTAATACCAGTCTATTTCCTAAAAGCTTAAAAAATATAACATAGTTCGTATAATATGTCACCCATAATGAAGCCAAGTTTGATTCGTCATTTTGTGTTACTCTTCCTTAGGTCCTTGGAGGATTTAAAAATAATAATAATAACTTACAATTCACTCCCTTCTTTTCTTTTAACAAAACTTCCTACTGCTTACCCTGTGAGAAAGACTAAGGAAAGAAAATGAAAGGGCTGTGGGAAAGAAGTCAGTCAAAAACAAGCCCACAAAACTCAAGGGGCTGTATTTCTTTTATTTTTTTTTTCTTTTACATAGAAAGCATTCGCGTAAAGAAAATAAGAGATTTATAATTCCCATAATTTGGCTAGAAGAAGCACACAACTGCATACTTCCTGTGTGTTAGTCATTTTTGGTTGCCTAGCTGCAAAACACAAATATATTACAAAACTGTGTTTTTATCACAGTGGTACACATCTGTCAATGAATCCACTCTCCTGACTTTTTGTCCAATGCGTTAAAAACAATAGATGACACCATATCAAATTCCTAGTTTCTGATTACTTCAGCCTTGCTTAACTCTGCATTTGATCTTCAAACTAGCTTAAATGTTGGGTTTGTGTGAGGCTGGAGGAGAGAGAATTGCCTAAATTAAACCAAAAAGTGCTGGAAATGGGCAATGGTGGAATCCTAGAACTTTTTATTTTCTTCCTGAAGCCTGTAGAACAAAGAAAGGAGTCCTCTTACATTCTGAAGTGAATTGGATTTCCAATTGCGCACTTCAAGTACGTTAGCATTAAATAACCACGAGTCACCCAGTGTTGACTTCGGATGGTGTCATGAGTGTTCTGAGACACTTGAAGGTGACCCCAGATTCCCTGGTGTTTACTCCCTCAGGGTTGGCTGAAGGTCGTGACTCACACTGAGGGCAGTCAGGACACTTCTGGAACAAGGTTTCCGAAGCCACGCTGCCCTTCCTACATCAGGCAGTTGGCACAGACTGTTGTGTGTCAACTTCCTGTGAAGGCCCTCAGCCTAAAGAGGTGAGCCAATAAATCCTCAAGGAACGTGTTGAGAACAGGGATGAGAATGTGATGGCAAGATCGATGTTTCTGGACTTGTCCCTAGGGATATGAGACAGCCATCATTCCACTATGGACAAGGGGGCCCCTGACATCAACTTGCAGCCTGATCTCCACCTGGTCAAGCTGTTCCCAAATCAATGTTCCCCTAAGGGAGACCAGTACAATGCCTGGAACATGGTAGGCATTTAAATAAATATTTGCTATGGCTGGGCAAGGTGGCTCATGCCTATAAACCCAGCACTTTGGGAGGCCAAGATGGCTGGATCACTTGAGGTCAGGAGTTCGAGACCAGCCTGACCAACATGGTGAAACCCTGTCTCTACTAAAAATACAAAAATTAGCCAGGTGTGGTGGCATGCTCTTGTAATCCCAGCTACTCAGGAGGCTGAGGCACGAGAATCACTTGGACCCGGGAGGCGGAGGTTGCAGTGAACCAAGATTGCACCAGTGCACTCCAGCCTGGGTGACAGAGCGAGACTCCATCTTGAAAAAATAAATAAGGCCGGGCGCGGTGGCTCACACCTGTAATTTCAGCACTTTGAGAGGCCAAAGCAGGCGGATTGCCTGAGCTCAGGAGTTCGAGACTATCCTGGCCAACGTGGTAAAACCCTGTATCTACTAAAAATACAAAAATTAGCCGGGAGTGGTGGCAAGTGCCTGTAGTCCCAGCCAGTCAGGAGGCTGAGGCAGGAGAATCACTTGGACCCAGGAGGCGGAGGTTCCAGTGAGCCAAGATCATGCCGCTGCACTCCAGCCTGGGCAACAGAGCGAGACTCCATCTAAAAAAAAAAAATAAAAATAAATAAATAAATAAGTAAAGATTTGCCAAGAGAAGAACAATTTGGAGAACTTTGTGGAAATGGTCTGAACACAAATATTCTAGAGCTACTCACGGGTAGATTTCAATATACCCAGGGCCTTTCCAAAGATCCCAGATATAGAGACAAGTAGGATCACCCGTAGCACAAGAATCATTTTTAAAAGCCAGGAAATAGCCCAGGTTCTTCTGCATTTCATGCTGGACCTCAACTTCTGGACAAATGCCATGTTTATAGTAGCACAAAGGAGAGAATAACCCTTTCGAAGAGTGATGATAGCTTTGTGAAGGGTGTGCAGGTGAGTCGGTTCAATAAAACATTGATGATCAAATCAATTGACTAAATAGTCCATGATTCAGGGCGGAAATCCCATACCGGATCCATTTACAGGACCTTTTCCCTAGGGTCCTTAGTGGTAGTCTCAAAGTTGCTTCTCCCTTCCCCAGTGTCTTGTTTTTAAAATGGAAATACTTGCATAAATAACCCCTGAGAACATGCATTCATTACACTGGAATCGGAGGGGAGAGAAGATAAAATGCAAAATTGGCCTATCACCACAAACAGTAAAGAATAAGATGCTTCTGTTATGAAAACTGGCTTTCTCAGATATCCAAGAATCACCTTAGGACAGCGTTTTAGAGCTCTGAATGCCAGGTGTACTCACCGACAATTTTTGAAGTTTTTGAGCCTCCTACAGACACAGAAAACTCTGTGTGTGTGTGTGTGTGTGTGTGTGTGTGTGTGTGTGTATTTTTAAAGTCAGCTCTGTGAAGAAAAAAATTTAGCAAAAAGAAAGATGTCATTTCTTACCTTTCATACTTTTGAGGATTCATTCTCATGCATAAAACTTTTGTGATAACGCCTTGTGTTTACGGCTTATCTTCTCTCCAAAGAGCTTTAAGCCCTGTTAGCATTATGGCACATAGCCCATTCTCATCAACCTGGTTAATGTAAACGAAGCAATAGCAGATTCAGTTCAAAACCACAGATAATGTTCAAAGGCACCTATGCTTGATTTGGGAATGTACCTGGTATTTTTCCTTACCAACTGTGTTCATTAAACTGATGCTGAAGGTGAACTCCTTTTCCGTAGCACACAGCAACTGGCAGTACAGAGAAGCTGTCCAATATCTCCTTGGGTCAGGGTGAGGCCAGGCCAAGAGTAAGACCTTGCTGTAAATCAGTTAGAAAGTAGATAATTAGGGGCAGGCAGCATTATCTCATTTATTCCCACACTATGCCTTGAAACTAGGTAGGAATATAATCAAGGATTGTGAATCGTGATGATGCGAACAGTGCGTGCACAGCCCCATGTTAGAAATGATGAGGAATTTAAAAGTGGATGTGAACACGAACAGTCACTTTTCAAAAGAAGACATACATGCAGCCAACAAGCATATGAAAAAAAAGCTCAGCATCACTGATCACTAGAGAAATGCAAATCAAAATCACAATGAGATACCATCTCGCACCAGTCAGAATGGCTATTATTGAAAAGTCAAAAAATAACAGATGCTGGTGAGGTTGCAGAGAAAAGGGAATGTCCATACCCTGTTGGTGGAAGTATAAATTAGTTCAGTCACTGTGGAAAACAGTGTGGAAATTCCTAAAACACTTAAAAACTGAACTACCATTCAACCCAGCAATCCCATTCCTGGGTATATACCCAAAAGAATATAAATCATTCTACCATAAAGACACTTGTACATGTATGTTCATTGCAGCACCATTCACAATAGCAAAGACACGGAATCAACCTAAATGTCCATCAGTAGTGGACTGGATAAAGAAAATATGGTACATATACATCATGGAATACTATGCAGCCATGAAAAACGAGATGGTGTCCTTTGCAGGGACATAGGTGGAGCTAGAAGCCATCATCCTTAGCGAAGTAACTCAGGAACAGAAAACCAAATACTGCGTGTTCTCACGTATAAGTGGGAGCTAAATGATGAGAACAGACGGACACATAGAGGGGAACAGCACACACTGGGGCCTATCAGAGGGTGGAGGTTGGGAGGAGGGAGAGGCTCAGGAAAAATAACTAATGGGTACCGGGCTTAACACCTGGATGATGAAATAATCTGTACAATAAACCCCCAAGACACAAGTTTACCTATATAGCAAACTGCAAATGTACCCCTGAACTTAACAAAAAGAATGAGGGGTGAGCTGGGCTCAAAAACACCACAGGACAGGCGACAGCCCAGACCAGACCATGTGTATTCCCTAGAATTCTCACAACTGCATGAAGTAGTTATTGCCATTTTACAGAAGATTCCAAGATTGCAGAGGTGAATGACCATTGTTACGAGGGATGGCTAGTAGGGACCATCCTGCAAGTCAGACCCAATTTTTTTACCTGACCCCAAAAGCCTTTCCTCTGCATAACAATGAGGAAGCTCACGAGAAATCTTCAACATCCCACTTCAGACAAAACTTTGGTTTGATGTGATAGATAATAAAATTATAAAAGTCATTAACAGCACGAGAGGAAGCCAGACACACGTGTGGCACAGGCTCCCAGCAGGCAGCCTTCATGGTGCTTGTCCGATGCTGCCTCTCCAGGCTCACCTTTCTCAGTGATTTGTGGATCTGTCTCCCTGGGCTCCACACCTTTGAACCATCTTTGTTCCCTCTCCTTTCTTATCAAAGCAGTAACAAAATTCTGTCTCTCCTACCTTCTTAATGTCTCTCACATTTGTGCCCTTTCTACCTCCCATTTTTCTTACATAAGAGGCTGGAGTATAAATTAGGGACATGGTGCCTGACTGGAGCATTAGCCTCCTCACTAAGCTTTGCATCTTGAAACTGCCAGTACCCCTTGTGGCCAGATGTTTTTTTTAATGTATTACTATTTTTAGAGACAAGGGTCTCCCTCTGTCTTACAGGATGGAGTGTGCTAGTGCAGTCCTAGCTCACTGCAGCCTCCGTGCTCGGCTAGTTATTTTTTATTATTATTTTTGTAGAGATGTGGTCTTGCCATGTTGCAATGGCTGACCTCAAACTCCTGATGTCAAGTAGCCCTCTGGCCTCAGTCTTCCCAGTAGCTGGGATTACAGGCTCCAGCAGATTGATTTTTTTTTTTTTTTCTGATATGAAGTTTTGCTCTGTCACCCAGGCTGGAGTGCAGTGGCGCAATCTCGGCTCACTGCAACCTCTGCCTCCCGGGTTCTAGCGATTCTCCTGCCTCAGCCTCCTCAGTAGCTGGGGCTACAGATGCCCGAAACCACACCCAGCTAATTTTTGTATTTTTAGCAGATATGGGGTTTCACCATGTTGGCCAGACTGGTCTCAAACTCCTGACCTCAGGTGATCCACCCCCTTCAGCCTCCTATAGTGCTGGGATTACAGGTGTGAGCCACCACGCCCAGCCCAGCAGATTGATTTTTAAATGTGTGCATGGTTATTGTGTATCAGCCTCTGAGTTTGCATGCCACGGTAGAAAAAGAGGCATAGTTTATCCCTCTGGATTTCATGATTTCATGGGGGACACAGACAACAATATGTAAACAAATGCATAATTGTAAGATCACAGAGCTGGACTGGATGGTGGGGTGCGGGGGCAGTGAGGCCAAGGGCAGAATCGAGGCTGACTTTAAGGTTTCTGTACAGAACGAAGTGATGGTAGTGCCGTTTATGAAAATGTGAAAGATTAGGGGGTGATTTGAAGTGGAGGGAGGGGAGGTTGAAAGACCAATTTTGGACATGTCAGCGTTGAGATAGTTCTTCCATAATTCTTAGGCATCCAAGAATAGGAGTCCCATGGACAGCTGTGTCTATAAGAGTGGAACTTAGAGAAGAATTCTGGGCTTGAGATATAAACTGTGGAATAAAAAATCAAACTGATGGAAATAAACCAAGCCATGGGGATAAATGAGGTCAACTAGGGAGAAGCATAAGAAAAGAAAAGGAGAAAGGAGGAGGGGGGACCTGAAGAACCACATCACCTAGAGGGTGGAGAGAGAAAGAAGAACCAGCAAATAAGAGTAGCTGGAGAGAGAAGGGGAAGATCCAGGAAGGGTGGTGTTACGGACACTGATAGAAAACTTTGTTTCAAGGGAAAGCAATCAATAGCAGTGTTAAATTCAGCTGAGAAACTAGAGATAAAACTACAAGTGTGTCTATTCGATATGACAACACTGAAGTAGATAACAACAACAACCAACGCATTGGTGGCCAGGCAGAAGCCTTTCTAGATTGGACTGAAAGAGAGAGAGGCAATGTATGCAGGCGAATCACTACTTAAAATTTTTATTTAATTCTGTGATTTTCTTACTGAGAAACTATAGAAGACTCCCTTTTGCCTGTCACATAAAATCTAGCCTTATTTTATTTTATTTTATTTTTTTTGAGATGGAGTCTCTCGCCCAGGCTGGAGTGCCATGGCACGATCTTGGCTCACTGCAACCTCTGCCTCCCAGGTTCAATTGATTCTCCTGCTTCAGCTTCCCGAGTAACTGGGACAACAGGCATGTGCCACCACGCCCGGCTAATTTTTTGTATTTTTAATAGAGATGGGGTTTCACCGCGTTAGCCAGGATGGTCTTGACCTCCTGACCTCGTGATCTGCCTGCCTTGTCCTCTCAAAGTGCTGGGATTACAGGCTTGAGCCACCACACCTGGCCTGTAGCCTCATTTTTAACTTGACCATATGAATACATTGGTCTGGTTAAATTGAACTAATCCTAAGTATTTCTTACCTCTGCACCTTTGCCTACAAGAACTCTTACACCAGGAATTCCCTGCTCACTCCTTTGTGCCGCACTCCTACGTTGTCATTCATGACTGCTGATATGGTTTGGTTGTGTCCCCACCCAAATCTCATTTTGAATTATAGCTCCCATCATTCCCACACGTTGTGGGAGGGACCCAGTGGGAGATAATTGAATCATGGGTGTGGTTTCCTCCATATTGTTCTGGAGGATTGTAGTGAATAAGTCTCATGAGATCTAATGATATTTTTAAAGAGTTTCCCCTTTCACTTGGCTCTCATTTTCTGTCTTGCCTGTTGCCATGTAAGACATGCCTTTCACCTTCCGCATGATTGTGAGCCCTCCCCAGCCTCGTGGAACTATGAGTCCATTAAACCTCTTTTTCTTTATAAATGACCCAGTCTCAGGTATGTCTTTATCAGCAGTGTGAAAACAGACTAATACAACTGCTGTGATCTTTTCATCCTCAGAATTTTTATTGCACCTTCTATCACCCTTGTAGTGGCATTTATGAGATACTGCTTTTATTCATGTATCTTTCATGTCTCAATGAAGGTTAGACTATAATGGACGTTATACTTGGCATTTTCCCGACACAAAATCTTATGCATATTAGTACAAAGTATTAACGGTCAGACTGGTGGTGACATTCCCCACTCAATTATTCCAAACTTTGGAGTCATTTTCAAGGAAAACAGACCCCTCAGACACCTCCCTATATGCCATCCCCAGGAAAAGTGCTGGCAAAGTGCAAGATCCTGACCCAATGGCCATGTTTTGTTTTGCTTTTAGTAGACTTTTTTTTTCCACTTTAGTTATAGATTTACAGAAAAATGGAAAATATAGCAGAAAGAAATTCTATCAACCCCACATCCAGTTTCCCCTATTGCTAATATCTTGTGTTAGTATGGTATATTTATCACAATTAATGAACCAGTATTGATACATGATTAATTACCCAAAGCCTGTACAGTATTCTGTTTTCCTTGCTTTTTACCTAATGTCCTTTTTCTGTTCCCGATTCCATCCAGGATGTCACAGTACATTTAGTGTCACGTTTCCTTGGGTTCTTCTTGGTTGGGACAGTTGCTTAGACCTCCCTTGGTTTTGATGACCTTGATCGTTTTGAGCAGGACTGCTTAGATATTTTGTCGAATGCTCCTCAATTGGGATTTGGCTGATGTTTTTCTCATGACTACACTGGGATTATGGGTTTGGGGGAGGAAGAGCACAGAAGTGAAGGACCACCATTCCCATCCCACTATATCGAGTGTACATGCTATCAACATGGCTTCTCATGGTTGATGTCCACCTCAGTCATCTGGTGTTGATCGCATTTCTCCACTACAAAGTTATTCTTTCTCCCACCTCTTACCATACTGCACTTTTTGGGAAGAAGTCACAACGTGCAGCCCACACTTAAGGAGTGGGGAATTATGCTTCACCTACTTCAGGGCAGGATATCTACAAGAAGTATTTGGAATTCTTCTGCATGGAAGTTATGTCTCTCGTTTCCCATTTATTTAGGTATTAAATTATTTATTTATATCAGATGAACTCACTGATTTATATTAATTTCATACTTTGGATTGTAATTCATTACTCCTTAATTTTGTTGCTTGAATTGTTCTGTCCTTGGCCATGGGATGCTCTTGTTCAGTTGTCTCCTAATGTATATGTCCTTTGACACATTCTCATGTGGGTTTTGTTTTGTTATATTTTGAGTACTTACCTGCTCAAAAACAAGATATTTTATGTACATCTTGTATTTTTCTTTCCCCTGTCCTAGAATCAGCCATTTCTCTAGGGAGTCCTGGTTCTATTTATTAGAAAATAGGCCGGGCACAGTGGCTCACACCTGTAATCCCAGCACTTTGGGAGGCCGAGGCGGGCAGGTCACGAGGTCAGGAGATTTGAGATCATCCTGGCTAATATGGTGAAAACCCATCTCTACTAAAAAAAAAATACAAAAATATTAGCCAGACGTGGTGGCACACACCTGTAGTCCCAGCTACTCAGGAGGCTGAAGCAGGAGAATTGCTTGAACCCAGGAGGGGGAGGTTGCAGTGAGCCAACATCACTCCACTGCACTCCAGCCTGAGCGACAGAGCAAGACTCATCTCAAAAAACAAAAATTATATTAGAAACCAAGACCTGGACACGAGGTGTGCTCACTGCTACCGGGTTGTCATTGCATCTAGGCCCTCTCAGCTGACAGAGCAAGGAAATATTTGTATACATTAACCCATGCATATACATATATCCCTAAATATCTCTACATGTAACCCTCTATATAAATAGTAAGCTAACATAAGCTCATACTGATGTCTTCAGCTCTATTCCATTACCTTCTCTCCCTGTTTATCTGGAAACTCCCACTCTAACAGTGAGACACCTGGC
This sequence comes from Homo sapiens, assembly GCF_000001405.40. NCBI lineage: Eukaryota > Metazoa > Chordata > Mammalia > Primates > Hominidae > Homo > Homo sapiens. The sequence continues at coordinate 10,839,422 of NC_000010.11, forward strand.
TCCCACTTTATGCCATCCATTTATGTATACATTCAATTTCACGTGTATAGTGGTTTCAGAATGTTAAGCCATACCTACACCCCATTAAGAAACAACTTTATCAACTACAGTGCAGTGCTTATGTACAGCTTCTTTCGCCCTTGGCCTTACATATTTCACTCGTTTCAGAAGTTACTTAAGTAAGAATATTTTTTCCTTCATAGCCTTTGGTGAGGTTGCTTCAAATGTGTGTAATAGAGTCAGACTTTTCTTTTGACATTCTGAATTCCACCCTGGGATTCCTGGACCTTATGAATGATGTTTTTTGAAATTTGCACAAATTAAGTTTCACTCTTTGTACTATAAGGCTCTAAGGGTTTGAACGACGAATGCAGTGGCACACATCCACCATTATATTATCATAGAGAATAGTTTCACTGCCCTAAAAATTCCTCTGTGCTTCACCTATTCAACCTCTTCACCCTAAACTCTGGCAACCGCTGATATATTTAACTGTTTTTGTAATTTTGGTTTATCCGGAATGTCATATATGTGGAATCACATAGTATGTAGCCTTTTTAGAGTGGCTTCTTCTACTTCACAGAGTTTTGTCTATGTATTTGCATGGCTTGATAGTTCATTCCTTTCTATCACTGAATAGTGTTCCTTTGTCTGGATGTACTAGTTTGTTGGTTTCTCCATTCACCTGTTGAAGGACATCTTGGTTGCTTCCAGTTTTGGCAATTATGAATAAATCTGCTGTAAATATTCATGCGCAGGTTTTTATGTGGGCATAAGTTTTCAGATCATTTGGGTAAATAACCTAGGAGCCTTATTGCTGCAGCATAAGTGAAGACTCTGTTTAGCTTTGTGAGAAACTGGCAAACTGTCTTCCAAAGTGGCTATATTATTTTGCATTTCACCAGCAATGAATGAGAGTGTTTGTTGCTCCGCATCCTCACCAGCAATTGGCATTGCCAATTTTTTAATTTAAGTCGTTCTAGTAGGTATTTAGTGGTATCTCATTGTTGTTTAAATTGTCATTTCCCAAGTGACAAATGACAGTGGATATCTTTTTGTATACTTAACTTGCCATGCATGTATCTTCTTTGATATCATTCAGATATTTTGCCTATACTTTAATTGGCTTGTTAGTTTTATTGCTGAGTTGTAATAGTTCTTTGTATATTTTGGATACAAGTCCTTTATCAGATACATATTTTGCAAATGTATTTTTTTCCAAACTGTGGCTTGTCTTTTTTGATTCTTTCTCTCTCTTTTTTAAAATTTTACTTTAAGTTCTGGAATAGACATGCAGAACATGCAGGTTTGTTACATAGGTATACATGTGCCATGGTGGTTTGCTGCACCTATCAACCTGTATTGTAGGTTTTCAGCCCTGCATGCATTTGGTATTTGTCCTAATTCTCTCCCTCCCCTTGTCCCCCACCCCCTAACAGGCCCCGGTGTGTGATGTTCTCCTCCCTGTGTCCATGTGTTCTCATTGTTCAACCCCCACTTATGAGTGGGAACATGCAGAGTTTGGTTTTCTGTTCCTGTGTTAGTTTGCTGAGAATGATGGCTTCCAGCTTCATCCATGTCCCTGCAAAGGACATGAGCTCATTCTTTTTTATGACTGCATAATATTCCTGTTGTATATGTGCCACATTTTCTTTATCCAGTCTGTCACTGATGGGCATTTGGGTTGGTTCCAAGTCTTTGCTACTGTAAATAGTGCTGCAGTAAACATACGTGTGCATGTGTCTTTATGGTAGAATGATTTATAATCGTTTGGATATATATCCAGTAATGGGATTGCTGGGTCAAATGGTATTTCTGGTTCTGTTTCTCTTAAAAGTGTCTTTCTCAAAGCTGAGTTTTTAATTCTAAAAGGTCCAAATTGTCAATTTTTTTCTTTCATATATTGTGCATTTGATATAGTATCAAAAAAAAAAAACCTCTTCATCACCAAACCCAAAGTTATATATAGATTTTCTTTTGGAAGTTTCATAGTTTTATATCTGAGTTAATTTTATGGAAGGTGTAGGTCTGTGTCTAGGTTCATTTTTATATAGATGGATATCCAGTTGTTAGAGCACCATTTGTTGAAAATACCATTCTTTCCCCATTGAATTGCCTTTGCATCTTTTTTTTTTTTAATCTATGGCCTATATTTGTGTTTGTCTATATTTGGGCTTTCTATTCTGATACATTGATCTTTATGTCTATTCTTTTACTAACACCATGCTGTCTTGATTATTATGAGTATAGCTTAATAGTAAGTCTTGAATTTGGGTAGTGTGAATCCTCCATATTTGTTTTTCCTCTTCAGTATTGTTTTGGCTATTCTTGGTCTCTTGTCTTTACATTTAAACTTTAGAATCAGTTTGCTGATATCCACAAAATAACTTTGCTGATACCCACAAAATAACTTGCTGGGATTCTTACTGAAATTGCATTGAATCTATAAATCAAATTGGGAACAACTGACATCTTAACAATATTGAGACTTTCAAAATGAACCCAGACTATTTCCCATTTATTTAAATCCTCTTTGATTTCTCTCATCAGTGTTATGAAGTTTTCTGTATGTGGGTCCTATAAATATTTTGTTAGGTTTATATCTAAATATTTCTCATTTTTTTCTGATGCGATTGTAAATGGTATTTTTCATTTCAAATTGGAAGACTCCAATTGTTCATTGCTGTATATGGTGAAAAATTAACTTGTATATTGACCTTGTATCTTGTAATCTTGCTATAGTTACTGATTACTTCCAGCATATTTTTGTAGATTCTTTGTTATTTCTACATTGCCAATTATGCCATCTAAAATAAAGACAGTTTTATTTCTTTTGTTCCAATCTGTATAGCTTTTACTTCTTTTTCTTGTATTTTTTTCTATTAACTAGGATTTCCAGTATGATGCTGAATCAGAGTGATAAGAAAGGACATCTTTTCCTTATTCGTGGTCTCAGGGGAAAATTGTTCAGGATCTCACTAAAAAGAATGATATTAGCAATAGGTTTTAAAATATATGCTCTTTATCAAATTGAGGAAGTTTCTGTGCATTCCTTTTTGAGAGTTTTTTTTCTTATGAATGAATGTTAGAATTTTTCAAATGCTTTTTCTGCATCAATTGACGTGATCATATGAGTTTCCTGCTTTAGCCTGTTGATATAGTAGATTACATTAATTGATTTTTTAATGTCAAACCAGCCTTGCATACTTGGAATAAATCCTACTTGGTCATAGTGTATAATTTTTTTACAGATTATTGAATTGTATTTGCTAATATTTTGTTGAGGATTTTTACATATATGTTCATGAGAGATATTAGACTGTCATTTTCCTTTCTTATAATGTGTTAATTTGGCTTTGATATTAGAATAATGCTGGCCTCACAGAATGATTTAGGAAGCACTTTCTTTGCTTCTATTTTCTGGAAGAAAATGTGGAGAATTGGCATTATTTCTTTAGTAAATTGTTGGTGGATTCACCAGCGGAACCATCTCAGCCTGGTACACTTCTTTGGGAGGTGGAGGAAGAAAGGTTACTTATTAATTTCTTTAGTAAATATAGGGCTATTCAGATTGTCTGTTTCTCCTGTAGGTTTTGGTAGTTTATGTTTTTTAAGGAGTCAGTCCATTTCATCTAAGTAATCCAATTTGTAGTTATAGGGTTGTTCATAATATTTCTTTATTATCCCTTCAACGTCCGTGGGATTAGTAATAATGACCCAGGTTTTATATCTGATATTGGCAATTTGTGTCTCCACAAAGAAAAACAACAGAAAAACAACAAAGAAAATCAATATAACAAAAGGTGGTTATTAATCTTTTCAAATAACTGGCTTTTTGTTTTATTGATTTTCTTTGTTGTTTTTCTGTTTTCAATCATTGGCTTCTCCTCTAATTATTTCTTTTCTTCTACATGTATCAGGTTGAAATTGTTCTTTTTTAAGTTTAATTTCATAACCTAGAATCAGATTATTGATCTTTCTTCTTTTATAATATATGCAGATAATGCTACATATTTCCCTCTAAGCACTGCTTTTGCTGCATGTCGCAAATTTTTCCAGCTATCTTTCTGTTACTGATCTATAATTTAATTATTTTGTGGCCTGAAAACATACTTTGTATGGTCTATATTTGTCAAAATTTTTGAGGTGTGTTTTATGGCTCATAATGGGATCTATCTTGGTGAATTTTCCATGGGATTTTAGAAAAATGTATATTCTACTGTGTTTGGATGAAGTATTCTATATATTCAGTTACATAAAGTTGGCCATGCTGTTCAGATCATTCATATCCTTATCGATTTTATGCCTACATGATCTACTGATAGAAGGGTATTAAAGCAGTGACGACATTTTGACTTTTGAAACAAAATCGCCCCCCAACACTGAATAGGTTCTGAATCTGTCCCAGTTGTCTTTTTGCAGATTATGAAAGTGGGTATCCTTGAAAACGGATGGTAGTAAATGTCTTAGAATTACTAAGATTTTTTTTCATTGGAGATATGAGAAAACTTGTCTGAGCAGCCACTTATGTAAGATATTGTGGAAGGGAATCATGAATAAGGGAAAAATGAATTAGATGATTCCTAAGATCCTTTGACCTCCGGGAATCTGTCCTACCTCGGGTGCTTCTGAATTCTCTTGGTGATATTTTTTACTTGACTTTTCTACTTCCTTTCTCCTATCTTTGTTCCTGCCTCAGAGTCCTGATATTTTTTTCCTCACAAATAGAGCTTATCTGTTAAATAAGACCTAATTTGTGACCTCTGACCAATATATAAGAGTATACTTAATGGGGAACCTATTGGGTCAAATTTCTTTCTGGTTTTTCCTGAAATCATCCTGTCCCATGAAGTTCCTTTTTCAAAACATTCAGAACAAGGGGAAACCAATCTCTACCCCCATGTGAGCCAGAGTGTTGAGTCTGAAAAAGCTGGAGAAAAATAAGGAGTATTTATTAATACTTCTGGCCAAAACAGTGATTCTTTTGCTGCCTTCTCCTGGAACAAAATCTTAAGGGAAAAAAATGAACTCTTTAAGACACATGAACATAGATAGTACAGAAGATTCCTCTAAGTGGGGAGAGAGAGTCCAGGACGGGCTTGCTGTACTGCCATTTGCAGTTTTATCCCAGAAAAATGAAGAGTGTGGGGAAACTAGCAAAGGGCTGTTTTCTGACATTTGTAAATCAGTCATGCAAATTAACAAATGCCTTATGCTAATACTAAAGAAATTACTTAAGCCTTTTCTCTCTAGTTATTCTTTGGGTTTTCTTGGGATTCTCTGACTTCAGGAGATTTTATCTGTGTCTAAGGACCGTAAGAAAAGGGTTTTGATTGGGATTAGCAGAGAAACCTGGCAAAAAGATTGACATATGCCCTGGGAAAGGAACAGAAAATTTGAAATCAGAATTATCAGGGAAAACTCAGGAAAGAATGTCTGCTGTTTATTGCTCACCTCTTCCACAAGGATCTCCCTTTGAGAAAGAACCTTGTAACTATTCATGAGCTCTCAGAGTTTCATGTGAGATGGATGAATGACCAGCATTTTCATTCCATTTTTGTAGAAAAGTGTGAGAAACAGTAAGGTTTTAATTATTTGCTCAAGGACAGGAATGGGCTTCTAATTCTAGTTCCTATTCACTGCCTGAGCACTTTCACAGCCTGTAATATTTAAATTACTGCTTAAATGTTTTATTTAATGATGAATGGTTTTTGCCATCATAGACGAGAAATTGCTGTGGCCATTTTCTTGCTTGAGTATTCAGTGTCTCTGAGATGGTAGGCTTATTCTTCGAGGGCCTCAAATGGGAGATCTGTATTAAACATGTTTCCAAAGGCTAATTTCTTAAAGGGAGAAAGAAAGAAAATGCAGTCTCAGTTTCCTGTCCATTAGCCTTCAGTTCATTGCTCCAAAAAAAAAAAAAAAACTGGGAGCTGTTTTGGCAAATAACCCTATGTTCTCGGGATAGTATCTGTGGAAACTCCCTTAAACTTTACAATGAAACAGAAAATGTAATAAAACAATAAAGCAAAGCAAAACATACACACACACACACTCTGTCCAAGGAGTCATAGCTAGAAGTCTGCAAGAAATTTCTGAGCTATCTCTTCCAAGAAAAAGACAGTATCTGTGCAAAGATATCAAAGAGAGATTCTAAAAGCAGAAGATAAAACTCAGTATTATCTGGTTAGGATAATCAGCTTAATTTAATCATTTCACAATGCATACATGTCTCAGAATATCACATGTATATATCACATGCATCTACAATTTTTATGTATCAGTTATACAGAAAAAATAAGTTTCATAACCAAACTGTTGTACATGCTGCTTAAATAAGATCTGAGCACTTTCATGTGATGGCAGGTTTGGGTTTTCTGCTTGGAATGCCCTCTTTCAATTCCCCATACCTGCTGGATTAAGATTAAGAAAGATAGATATATCTGATGCGATTTCTTTTATTAAAGCTGAAAAACAAAAGGAAACCAAGAAAAAACCCCTCATTATTATGTAACTATTTGGTTCCGTAATGAGCAAATTATTAATTCAATATGGTACATCAAGACGTAAGTGCGTCTGTGTGTCTCAGCTTCGGCATCTGTAAAATGACTCATTAACCTGTGAACCCCCTTTCATTGTAGACTTTTGTGATTCGATCAGATCCTTCTGCGCTCCCAGAGTTCAAGCAGGAGTAAGCAATTCCTTTGACGATATTTGGGAACCTCGCTATTCACAGTAAGGAATCCATTCCTTCCTCCCCTTCTGCTAAGACTTGGCATTTTTGTGATTAATTATATACGATATGGCCTCCTCATATGCTAGGTTTCAGTGTTTTTTCCAAGCTCCTTCTTGCTTCCCAGGACTTGGTTTTTCCTAAAGCTTTATTTTTGCTGACAATGAAATCTTCCCCCTCACTGCCCAGAATCTTTCACAGATGTTCCCTCTATCAACAGAGCAGCAGCTGCTGCCTGGACACTGAGAGCCCGAGGAATCCACTGGTGTCTTTTCATCTTGACAAATATTATTGAAATAAGCAAATAACTTTCAAAAAAAAATCCCAGAAGAGTCTATGTATGTGATCCTTTCCCTGTCACTTTCTTTTCAAAACTTGTCTTCATTTTGATGCTTTTATCACCAGGGATAAAGATTTAGAAGGGTTCCATAAATTGCAAGAGAAAGCAGTAATTGCCTTTTGAGTTCAGCATACCACGCAAAGCCAATGTGAAGCATGGAATGGCTCAGATCTGTAAGGGATGCTTTCTACCTAGAGCTCACATTTAACACTGAGCAGAACGATGCCCTTGCAGCTATGCCTGCAAGCAGAGTGCAGCACATCTGAATCTTGAAATCGAGGTCCATTTTGCTGAAATGAGGCTAGAAAACCATCTAAGGGAAAGTTATGTTTTCCAAAAATAAAAATGGAGTTTGATACCAATCTATTGTACATGCTGTTTAAATAAGATGTGAACACTTCCATGTGATTGCAGGTTTTGGTTTTCTGTTTGTAATGCCTTCTTGCAATTTTCTCATACCTGCCGGCCTAAGGTTAAGAAAGGCAGATGTCTCCGATGTGATGTCTTTTATTACTTACAGACTTGATATGTAATTTTGATAGAGCTAAGCCCATTATTAACCTTGAAGAGGGTGTTGTAAAGTAAGTTAAACAGTAGCTTAATATTTTTATTTGCAGGAAACACACACAAAATTAGATATAGTAATATCTATTTATATTAGGTATATATATAAAATAAGTAATGTATAATGTATGTTTTTTATATATACGCATATATATATATATGCACACACATCTATAAACAAAAGTGGAGGATGAAATGGCCTACATTAGGTGCAAAGAAACCTGTATTCTAGTCCTGTCTCAAAGATAATTTTAGAATGTCATTTCCATTCTCTCTGTTTCCTTGTCAATGTAAAATAGTGATGATATCATCTGACCTACTTCCTTTATAGCCTCAAATGAGAAAATGCTGTAGGAAGACAAATTTAAATGTAAAGTCTGGGTGGCTCCTGTGCGATACACATGCAGGAAGAAATGCATGCTCGTCCTGCAGCAGACCTCCTCACTCTGTAAACATTCACATGATTGGAGGCAAGCACGATGTATAACAATTCAGATTCATGTCCTCCCAAGAGGAAGGGTGGCTTTCTTGCCTGAAAAGCGTCATTGCAGAATGACTTTCAATAGCAAGTTCTAGTGTATTTTAAAAGGTTTCTGTATGCAAGAGCGTGTTCATTGTGCAGAGCAGAGTGTCTGTTTTAAAGCAGTGGCTCTCAGCTCTCATTGTTCTGCAGAATCACCTGGGCCCTACCCCAGAGCTTCTGATTCATTTGGTCTGAGATGAGGCTTAGCCGTGGTTTTAGTTTTAAGCTCCCTGGAGATTCTAATGGACAGCCAGATTTTATAGCATTATCTGTGAATGTGAAGATACAACATTGGCTGCACACACAGCAAAAATGACTGTATTTAAATGACTATATCCAAGTACATACTGTAAATTAAAGTACATTTAATTTCACCATACAGGAGATTATCAAAGCACATATAGAAGATGGTCTCCCTTCTCTTTTTTTCTCCTCCCTCTCTCCCTCTCTCCTTTCTCTTCCCCTCAAGGTCTATAAGTCCATCAGATAACTGGAGATGACAATTTCCCGCTATATTGTGCATATCAGTTCAGACTAAATCCTCTGGAGGAAATTTCGTTTCCTTTTCCTATAAGAAATTGGCCTTTTAAACAAGTACATTTTAGGTAAAAGCTTTTCTAGTTGATGTGTTCAGTACCCCTTTATTGCAATAAAAATCATGTGGTCTTGAATAAGTTTGAATGCTCTTGACTTAGGGAGTAGAGCTATTTTACCCATCTAAAGTTTATGCTGGCTCCTTTCCCCTGTCTGTACTTCAGCCTTGAAAAATGGCAACAGCGCCTTGAATATCGGGGTGGCATCATTTTATGGATCCCACTCTTTAAAAGCATGACCTGTGAAACTTAAAAACTTCTAAAGCTTAGGAGCGTTGCTTTTGACCAGAAGACCGCTTCTTGGGAAATTAAAGATGGGTTTACGTTTATGAATGGAATTAAGACAGAAATCTTTAAATTAAAGTAATTCAGAGCCACCCATAACAGAAGGCTCGTGGGGCAAGAGTTCTGTTTCCTGCCCCTGGAAGGCTCTCATGGTTTTGTGGAGTTCTGCTGATATCTTCCCTTTCAGCATCAGAGAGGAAATGTTTGTTTTGGCCATCGTGGGGCCCTGGATCTTTCTCCTAGGCCAGCGTGGGAGATGGAGAAGGGACATCAACAGAACGGGTTCCGATTGCTGCCTCTAACCATGAAATACGGTAGAGTTTCTTCAACCATCTAGAAAACGGAGATTAGACCACAGGGTTGTAAGGGGAGTCTGCTAGTGGATGCCGCCATGTTTTACGTAGGATTTGAGTCCCATGTCGAAGGAACACCTCCCTTCTAAAGCCCGTGACTATTGGCTGTTCTCACATGGTCCAGGTACCTGGGTGAAGGGGAAAAAAATCAGACAACAGCCTCTCTCACTATCCTGGACTCCCCCGTCCTTCTTCTGAAATTGCAAGCTTCTTAATTACAAACAACAATATCCATTTTGGCTAATTTTCTTTATCTTTCATTTTTTTAATTATTTCAAACTTGTAGAAAAACTGTAAGAACAGGCTGGCCATGGTGGCTCACGTCTGTAATTCCAGCACTTTGGAAGGCTGAGGCGGGCGGATCTCTTGAGGTCAGGAGTTCGAGACCAGCCTGGCCAAAATAGTGAAACCCTATCTCTACTAAAAATACAAAAAAAAAAAAAACAAATTAGCTGGGCATGGTAGCGGGCACCTGTAGTCCCAGCTACTTGGGAGGATGAGGCAGAAGAATCACGAACCAGGAGGCAGAGGTTGCAGTGAGCAGAGATCATGCCACTGCACTCCAGACTGGGTGACAGAGCAAGACTCCATCTCCAAAAACAAAAAAGAAAAGAAAACTGTAAGAACAATACAAAGAATACTATACACTCTTTCCCCAGATTTCCTGTTTCTCAACATTTTGCCATATTTGCTTCGTCATTCTTTCCATACATACTACCTTCTGAATCATTTGAGACTGAGTTACAGATCTGATGCCCCTTTATTTATGCCTAAGTTCTTAGGTGTGTGTTTCCTAAAAACAAGGATATTCCCTTACATAACGACAGTACAATTATCAAAATCAGGAAATTAACATGTTATGGTATTATGACACAATCTGGCTCGCTCTCCAATTGTCTCGATAATGTGTTTTATCATACGTGTGTGTGTATATATTATGACCAAATAGTTTCTATCTTTGTGCACGTGTATGTGTATATGTATATGGATAAAAATTTATCCAGTTAGGATATACACAAGCAATTGCTTTAAAAAAAAAAAATTGGCCAGCCAGGTGTGGTGGCTCATGCCTGTAATCCCAGGACTTTGGGAGGCCGAGGCAGGCAGATCACAAGGTCAGGAGTTTGAGACCAGCCTGGCCAAAATAGTAAAACCCCATCTCTACTAAAAATACGAAAAAAAAAAATTAGCCGAGCATGGTGGCGGGTGCCTGTAATCCCAGCTACTTGGGAGGCTGAGGCAAGGAATATCGCTTGAACCTGGGAGGCGGAGATTGCAGTGAGCTGAGATCACGCCACTGTACTCCAGCCCAGGCGACAGTGGGAGACTCCATCTCAAAAATAAAAAAATTAAAAAATTGGCCAATATAAGTAGCAAAGGAAGTTATTAAATTATATCTGGTAGTTTAATAATCTCCAGAAAGGCTAGACAGCAACACTCTGAAATTACACAACTAGAAAAAAATGCCCAAACATGTGGCAGGATTTTCTCCAGTAAGAAGATGATTGCTATCACTGCATGGTACCTATGTAACTTGGGACTGAATCCTAACACTCCACCACTGCTGACTCTCAAAGTTCTTTGGAAGAATGAATTGCCAAGACATGGCCCTTGAGTATTGCTCATTTCTGAATCCAAGGCTTTCAGAGCTACGCTGATTGGAAACCTAGGTCACACATGCCTCTACTTTAACCACGAAAGAATCTGGAAATGCAAGTGTTTCAGCTTCCTCCTTGGATCTCATAATACGAGAAATTATCAGACTCTAGGAAGGATGTTTGAATATGTTGGAGAGCCACAAAAGATAATAATAGCAACATCAATTGCAAACAATAACAGGTAACATTTATTGATCACACCTTACATGTTAGGCATTCTTTTAAATATTTTTATTAATGCTTTTAATCTTCACAATAACCTAATGGGGTGCACAATATTATTGTCCCTAGTTTACCAGTAAGGAAACTGAGACATAGATATTAGTTTATTTATTTTTATTTTTATTTTTTTGAGATGGAGTCTCTGCTCTGTCACCCAGGCTGGAGTGCAGTGGCGTGACCTCAGCTCACTGCGACCTCTGCCTCCTGGGTTCAAGTGATTCTCTTGCCTCATCCTCCTGAGTAGCTGGGATTATAGGCGCCCCCCACCATGCCTGGCTAATTTTTGTATTTTTAGTAGAGACGGAGTTTTGCCATGTTGGCCAAGCTGGTCTCAAACTCCTGACTTCAAGTGATCCATCTGCCTTGGCCTCCCAAAGTGCTGGGATTACAGGTGTGAGCCACTGTGCCCGCCAAGAAACTGAGACATAGGTATTTTGTAAGTTGTCCACGATGACTAACAAGGAAGAAGCAGAGGCATAATCCATATGAGTTCTTAACTCTTACATCTTTCTTTTTCAAAACACATGCTGGAAAATAGTTTGGCCATTTCTTATGAAATTAAGCAATTACATTCTTGGGCATTTATCCCAGAGAAATGAACATTTCATTTCTCACAACAAATGTTCAGAGCAGCTTTTTGGTACTAGACATGCCCTCCCACTATAAACAACAAATGATGATGGAACAATTAGACATCCATCTGCAAAAACATTAACTTCGATTCTCACACCATCTTTTAAAAATTAACTCAGCAAGGTTGCCGACCTCAATATAAAACTTAAAACTATAAAACTTCTAGAAGAAAGCATCAGAGAAAATGTTTGTGACCTTGTGTAGGCAAAGATTTCTTAGATATGAAGCTAATACTGTGATCCAAAAGTTGATAAATTGGACCTCATTGAAACAAAACATCAGACAAAAAAATGTGTTTTCTCTTTGAAAGACATCATTAAAAGAATGAAAAGACAAACCACAGACTGGGAGAAAATAGGTCTAAATCCTCTCTGTGATAAATGAATTGTATCCAGAATACGTACAAGGAACTCTCAAAACTCAATAAGAGGAAAGCAAACAGCCCAATTTTTTAAGTGGGCAAAAAAATCGAGCAGGCATATTACCAAAGAAGGCATATAGATGACCAATAAGCATATAAAGAGATTCCTAACAGCATAAGTCATTACAGAAATGAAAATGGAAACTAGTGACCTGTTCCTGCACACCTATTACAATGGCTAAAATTAAACAACTGACTATATCAAGTGTTGGCAAGTATGGGGAGGGACTGGAAAGCCCATACACTGCTGGTGGGAATGTAAAATGCTACAGTTGCTTTAGAAAACAGTTTTGTAGTTTCTTAAAAAGTTAAATAGGTATCTATCATATGATGTAACCATTTAACTCCTTGGTGTCTACTCAAGACAGAAGAATTTATATTTCTATACAAATATGTATATAGTATATCCATAGAGCTTTATCTGTATTAGCCCAAACTGGAAGCAACCCAGATGTCCTTCAGTGTGGATGATTACACCAATGTGATACATCCATACAATGGACAACTACTCAGCAACAAAGAAACAAACTATGGGTTTATGCAACAACTTGGATGGATCTCAGGGGGATTATACTGAATGAAAAAAGCCAATTCCAAAGGGTTACTTGCTATATGACTTCATTCACAGAAAATTGTTGAAATGACAAAATTATTTATTAAAACAGAGAATGGATTAGTAGGTGCTGGAGTTGGGGCTGGAAGGGGCATGGGAGAAAGGTGTGTGGTTATAAAAGGACAGCATGAGGAATGCTTGTGGTGGTAGAATTGTTGTGTATCTTGACTGGGTGGTAGATACACAATCCTACACGTGTGGCAAAATTGAATGGAAGTAAACACACACAGACACCACTGAAAGCATACAAAACTGGGGAAATCTGAATACGATCCATGGATTGAATCACTGTCCACATCATGGTTGTGATATTATACTAGAACACTTTTGCAAGATGTTACCCTCGGGGGAAATGGGCAAAGCATTCACATGATCTGTCTGTGTTATCTCCTTTAATTGAATGTGAATCTACAGTTTTCTCAAAAAGAAAACTTTAAACACACACACACCAAGACAACAGCGTGAGATAAGATGCCCTTTTTAATTTTCAGAAGCTGAATTTGGAGGCTGAACAGGAAAATCAAAATTTATTTTTGTGTGTGCCTTTTAGAACACAGGGTTAACATTCAATTTCCTTGAGCATGGAAGGGTTTCTGTATATATTATTCAACTATTAATCATGATTATTATTATTACTGAGACAGAGTCTCACTCTGTCACTTAGCCTGGAGTGCAGTGGTGCAGTCTTGGCTCACTACAGCCTCCACCTCCTGGGTTTAAGTGATTCTCCTGCCTCTGCCTCCCGAGTAAGTGGAACTACAGGTGCACACCACCATGCCCGGCTAATTTTTTTGTATTTTTATTAGAGATGGGGTTTCACCATGTTGGCCAGGTTGGTACTGAACTCCTGACCTCAGGCAATCTGCCCACCTTGGCCTCTGAAAGTGCTGGGATTACAGGTGTAAGGCACTGCACCCGGCCTATTAATCATTATTTTAACTTTGTCATGTCTAGGATTCTTGGTTGCTGTAATAACTGGCTTAATTAGCAGGCTCCTATAAGAAAAAGAAAGATGGTGGGCAGGTAGGGGGGCAGTTGGGGAGGAGTGGTGCATTTAGTGAAAAGATCTGGGGAATTCAGAGAATCCACTGGAAGGTTACAAACCAGTTTTGGAAATGAGCATAAAGAAGAGCATCTCTGGAAGTCTAGGAAACATAACTACACTCGTAGAATGGTCTCCTGGTAGGAACAGGAGGCTGGGGAAACATGGTGGCTGGGAATAATACACACCAAGCATTTTTTGGTGTTAATGTCACTTGCTCATGAGTAAAAGTCCAATAGAAAAAAAAAAGCCCCCTTATTGCGAGACTAGGTCACGTGCCTTCCTCCTGGCCACATGGAGATCTTGAGAGTGGGGAGCTGGCCTCTCGGTTCTCCTCGGCATGAGGCAGATGCCAGATTTTAGCTTCACACTAAACTACGCACAGTGTAGGAGGGGTGGGATCCTCCGAGAAAATCAGGAAGCCACTAGAAAGGGGCAGAGGATGCCGGCTGGCCAGGTGACGATGAATGTCCACCTAAACAAGGAAATTAAAAGGGAGAGCAAGACTTCGCATGTACGAAAGTCAAGGAGTGTGGTGTTTAAAGAGTGCTCCGGATGCAACTTTTCTATCCCCATATACCTTCTTTGTGTAGTTTCTGCAATTCTGTCATCTAGAAATATTTTCCTGTTAAACATGAACTCTCATTTAAGAGTCCATTTAAAATGCACATTTTCCTGGTGTAAATATGTATTTTACACATTACTTGCAAAATGCCAAGTCATGAATACCTAAATATGAATATCAGATATGTCTGGAGGACACTCATGAGGACTCTGTGTCAACATGCGAATCGAACCTGGAATATGGAAGTGTCAAAAGAGCCTGTGTCTGCTCTAGTTTTGTCCAGAGCTGAACCAACCTAAGGAACAATTTGGGGGAAGGGTGCTTATTGCAGTTGTGGTCAGCCCCAAGCTGTGAAAAGTGGCAAAGCCAGGCAGAATGAGAAGTCAAGTTATGGATATGGTGTGACCGTAAACAAGAGGTTTTGCCAAACCTACAAATGGCTCCTTCTGAATGGCCGTTTATTCTCGAAGTGAGTTTATAGGCATCCTTCAGCTCAAAGGTCACAGGTAAGACAGGGATTCTATTCCACCATGACCCAAGGAACCCACTCCGGGATCCAAAAATAATTATTGGCAAAAATGATTCCAGCTTTATTGGCATTTCCCAAAACAGGATTAAATGAACTGTGTTCAATTCAAAACCCACAGCATTCCCCCAAATCCCTCTCTCCCCATTTCTCTGCTTGCTGCCTCTCCAGTGCACAGCAAAACTATAAGCTCCCTTTGTCTTCCTCCAAATTCCAACTTGCAATTTAAAATTCTCACCCCTGTCTTGTGGTAAACTAATTGTTTTCACTTCTATGTATAAATATTAAAATATCTGAATGCAGGGCCCCCTCTCCAAGTCAACATCATTCTCCCACCCCCTGTTCTAACCCCCTAGCTGATTGAGTCATACCAGGATTGAATCCACCCAAGCGGGCAGAAAGTGGGCTCCAGGGGAGGAAAATCTGAGCCAGCGTCCACCTGTCAAGCCTGGATGAACAAGTTCAGATTTCCAACACGATGAGGGTGTAACTCTGCCCAACAAACAGAAGTCAGTCAAAGTCAATCTTCACCTGCTGGGGAACTTCATCTTTGGGTCACTGCCAAGCATCGGGTCCACCAGCCTCTCTCTGGTTCCTGAATTGTCACCACTTTGTGCCACTGGGTTCCAGTCCCAGTGAGAATCTGCATGGGACACACAAGCTTGATCAGTTTTCTCAGTGCTCACACTGGGGGTCTGCAGGCCCCTCTGCATTTCAAGATGTCCATCTGGCACCTCATCCTGCCATCACTCCCTCCAGTCTTGCAACTCAGAGGTGCTTCTGGCATTCCCCTCTGCAAGTGTGATCAGGTGTAAAAGAGGATGTGGTACCAAAGTGACACTGCTGTCACCTAGGATGGGCTTCCTGCAGCTGACATGTGTACACACAACAGTGAGGCCCAGCCTGCACGTCTAAATCCATTGGCACTGGTGTGAAAACCAAGGACAGAGGCTCTGATAACAGAAATACAGTGCCCTGTCACCAAAGGCTAGCAGAGCATAGACAGATTTAATCCTTTCATATCACTGGCACATAAATCCTACACAGATTGTGACTTTAAAAGGCTTAGCTACCAGACTTATTTTACAGCCTGTTTCTGACATAACAAAGAAAGAGTTTCCCATTCATTCTGCTGCAGGTCTCAACAGAAAAGAGGAGGATCAGGGTGGTTAACTTAAACCAATTTTTTCTCCATGGTAGCAGTTGCCAAAATGTGTGCTATGGAATACGAGGATCCTTGGAGGTATTCATAGGCACTAGTAATCAGCATTAATTCCAACATAAATAATATTTACTGGGTATCTACTATGTGCCAGTAAAACCAACACTGGTTTTGTAACCTTCCAGCATGTAGTAGATATTAGGTATCTAACATAGTAGATATTCGCTATCTACTATGTGTGATGATTCTAGGCCCAAGAGACCCCACAGTGAACAAAAGAAATAAAAAGCAAGAAAGGCGGCAAAGAGATGTCAGTCTGGAGAAACCGGATCTAAGATCTAGGAAAGGTATTTGGGAAGAAAAGAACTAAATTTATTATACTTTTTCATGGATGGTGTCTTATGTTGTCTTTCTGGAGAACTTAAAAATTTAGAAATGCAAGACTGAGTGAGCCAGAGCTTCTACTCCCTTGGAAGGAGAAAATAAGGAAGTTGGTATTTCAGTGACAACTGTGGCTGGCATATTAACTATATTTTACTTTAATCCTGACACTAACTCTGTTATTTAGATATTAATTGCATTTTCACACCGGATCGCGTTGTTTTCCTGAGTGGAAAACAATATAATGCAAATGTTTTATTTAAAAAAAGTTGACCAGCACCAAAACCCAGAATTCATCCACAATGAGTCACTCCCATGTAATATTTTAAAAAATGTTTGATCTCTATGGGTATGAAGATCCTCAAATAAAACATCTGCAAAGTAGAACAGAGAGATCAAATATTTAAAGACTTGTAATTTTGGGGGAAAAAATGACTGCATTTTGGCTAAAGGTAAGGAACAAGTGCTTTATCATATTCTTCTGCTTACTGAAATCATTTGATCAGATAATAAACAATGGAAGAAATAATCTTCTCATTGCATAATATTTTTTACTTTATTATTCTGTCTTCGTTAGCATCTTTGTTAAACGTTGAGTCACTAGACACATTTCCCATTCTCCTAAATAATGCCAAGCCTTCTACTCGTGCACTCATTTACATCCCTTTTCACTTTCTCAAAGGATTTACTTCTGAAATATCATTTTTCATAAGCATCACCAGATTTATCTTATTGATTGGGTGATTCCCATTGGCTTTATAACATTGCTGTAGTATCTTCCGTCTTCAAACAAACAAAAATTAATCTTCTGAACTTTCATTTTCATGCTTGATGGAGAAATTAGTACCAGACTTGCTCTCCCACCATTAACAACTAGAAAATTGGACAAAATACATGAAACAAGTTTGTTGGGACATTGGACAACAAGGAAGCGTAGAATTCTGATCTTTTAGAGAAAGGAAATAAATGAGGTAAGCTCCATAATCATCCCAGCTTTCTGATACCTTCTGGACAACAGCAAAGGAAGGGGAAACCCAAGCAGAGAACAATAGTTTGCTAATGAGTGGAGTAGACCAAGATTTGAGTTTGGAGAAGCTGGAGTAGCTTTGCAGAGAAAGAGCTCCAGAAATTTATGACATTGCCTTGGTCGTTGACTGACTGCTAACCTTCTCATGCACTGGGGGAATCTTCACAGGTGTGGGAAAAGAACAACCAGGGATTCTATAAGCTAAAAAGCTTCTAGAGCTTTCAGAGAGGTGGGAGATGTTTCATTTCCAACCAGATGCAGTGAAAAGACCTTGTCAAACAGCAGACCAGTCAGTAGAGACCACAAAAGAATTACTTCTCAGTAGTGGGGCTAAACTAGCCTTGGAGTAAAGGCTAATGTAGAATCACCCCAACAAAGCTTAAAAACAAATCTCAGAAGGCTCAGGCTGCCCCACAAGTAACTTAACTGCCTGCCAAAGCACTCTTTAAAGGAAGAAAACAGTGTGATATTTAAAATGTCAAATACTCAGTCAAACATTACTAGATGTACTGAACTGTACATTTTAAAATTGTAAAGATGGTGAACTATATATATATAAATATATGTGGTAAACTACATATATATAGTATATATATATATATATATATATATATATATATTTTACCTCAATAAAAAAAAATACTGGATGTACAAAGAAACAGGAAAATGTGATCCATAGCCAAAAGAAAAATCAGTCAATAGAAAAAGACCCAGTAAGGAGTCATGATGAAACTAGTAAAAAAAATGACTTTAAAACAGCAATTAGAAAAATACACAAGCATTTAAAGGTAAACATGAACACACAATGAAGTAACAGAAATATAAAACACAACCATAGGGAATTTGTAAAATTTGTACAGACGCTAATTTTTTTTTAGTCACTAGATGGGCTTAACAGCAGTTTAGAAACTGCAGAGTGACTATCAATGAATAGAAATTATCTAAATTATCTAAAGTCAGAAATTCAGAGATAATAAAGGTGGAAAAAGAAATGAACACAGCTCCAATAAGCAGTGGGCTAAATTTTAGTGGCTTTAAACGTGATTTAGAGTCCCAGAAAGGTTTGAGGACAGAATAAATAGTTGCTGAAATAATGACTAAAATTTATCAAAATATGATGAAAACTACAAACCCACAGGTCCAAGAATTTCACAAACACCAAGCAGGGATGGAAAATGTTGCCTGAGGGATGCCTTAAGGCCTCTCTGTGGCCTCTCATCACCCAATGGACTAGTCCTGCTTTGTTTACATGGTAAAGAGTAGCAAGAGAGAGAATACCCCAATGTCTAGCTACTTTTCATAACTGCTTGTGTCCTATTTTCTAATTTCTCATTGGCATAGCGCATCACATGACCTAGGCCAAATTCAAAGAGACAGGCATAATGAGATAGAAAGAATGTGTGGCCATTTGTAACCTACCCATCAGAGAAGCCTTATTGATTATCCTATCTAAATACCCCTTTCCACATCCCATCACACGCTATATTCTTGTTTTATTTTTCTTCCTACTGTCAAAAAGTACTTGAGCTATATTAAATGTTAATTTATCTACTCCATTAGAATTAAAAATTCATGAAATTCTCCCTTTTGCAGTCCATTATCCAGTGCCAGCACATAGTACTTGATAATAAATTGTTGAATGAATGAAAGTATGTTGTTGAATGAATGAAAGTATCCAGGAATAGATGTATTTCCTAAAAAAAAAAAATCTAGGGAAAATGAACATTTTCAATAAAACATTTAAATAACATTATTCCTTTAGTTTATTCAGAAGATTCAGAAAGCCAGAAGAGTTTAAAAAGTAAGGAGGATTATAACTTTTCTCACAACTCTTGATAAAGCACTATGTACGCAGGTATAAATTAACACTAGGACAGTGTGGTCTCTTTATCTTTTGTACAATTTTTAGATACCCACAAGTGGTTCAACAACTAGCAGATGATAATAAGTAAATATTTTTCTTTGAAGGACTTTCAGAGGACAAATTCAAAATGATTAGTAGCTACTGTAAGAACTAAACTTTTTTCAAGTATTCGTATTAATGATTTTTGGTTTTGTTTTCCTTTTTTGCCATTCTTATTCACTTGTTTTTGGCTAATGATGTAATTGTAAAAACCTGAAAACAAGTCATTAAACAATAAAAAACAAATTGCTCATTCCCTCAAAATTTAATAATCAGACCAAGGCTTGGTTGAGGGCTCAGGTTGATCAAGATAGTTAATTTTTATTATCCTAATTAGAATCTAATTTCAGGACTTCTTAATCAAAAGTGATTCATTAGCCCCATTTTGTTGGTTAAGAAGAGGCTAAATGAAGTGAGTCTTAACAGTCCTTTGGAACAGAAAGATCTGTTTTTTTTCTTGTATTGCTTATTTTCCTAAGCAAACAAGGTAATGGGAAATAGCCACCACAGTATGACCCTGTTAACTGTTCTGAAAAGAGGGGAGAAGAGAGATTTAGATAGAACATAACTGAATTTTTCAATTAATAGTATTTCACATAGAAAAATGTTTTCCTGTTGATCTGTCATCCTATTAAATAACCACACACACATACACACAAACCTTTTTATAGTAGCTGGAGTTTTGATTCAAAGAGTTTCGAATAAGTGGTTTATTCGAAGATCTAGCAGTCAGGCCACACATTATGCCACTAGGTTTTCTGACTCTTACTAGAATTTTTGAGATTTGAAGCAAAATATAGATTTAGATGCTTAAGTTTTCAGTGTACCTAGGAACACCTGCTTATATCAATATAAATGATATAGTTATCATCAGTAAAATAATGTTTATTTCCTCAGATAAATTCCTAGCCTGGCAGTTCTCAAATGTTTTGGTGTCAATCTTCTTTTACATTTTTTAAAAAAAATTGGGGATATCAAAGAGTGTTTGTTTGTATGTTTTATGTCTATCAATATTTGCCCTAGAAAATAAAATTGGGAAAAATACATATTCACAAATATAATAAATCCATTACATGTTAAGGTATCTTTTTATGAAAATGTATCATTTATTAATAAATTTATAAGATAGCTATATGGAACCAAAAAATAGAGAAGTGTGATTAGTTTTCACTTTTGTAAATCATTTTAATATCTCATATAATGGGAGAGCTGGATTTTCATGTATACTTGTGCATTGGATCTGTGCAATATCTCACACCATCCAGCCTCTGGAAAACTCCACAGTGCATCTGAAAGAACAAGATTAAAAATGGTGAATAATGTAATAACATTATTTGAAAATAGTTTGACTTCACAGACCTCCTGAAAGGGTCTCTAGGACCCACAGGTGTCCCCAGGCCACCAATGTGTCCCAGATGTCCTCAGGCCACCTGTGGGTCAAAATGCCTGTCCTAACTTGTTTGAAGAACTCTCTCTGACTAGAGTCTTCTGATGGAAATTCTATGACTCATTAAAATGCAAAGTTATCAAAAGTATAAGAGAAAAAAGTCAATTTCATTTCATTTTTTCCCATGGCAAAACTCAATTTTAATTCAGTTGATAACTTTTTATACAATGATACTTGGTGCTGCTAAAAGGAAAACTTTAGACAAATTAAATTTAGCAGAGTTTGTTTGAGCAAAGAACAATTTATGAATTGAGCAGCACTCAGAACCAGGAGAGGTTCACAGGGCTTCACCCAACAACGTGGCAGGCAGTATTTATAGATAGGAAAAGGAAGTGACGTACAGAGACAGCTTGATTGGTTACAGCTATGAGTTTGCCTTATTTGCATACAGTGTGATGAGGCATTTGCCTTATATGTTCATGGTCTGATTAGTTGACAGCCTGTGATTTGCTAAAAGCTTGGCTGCTATGATTGGCTGAGACTCAGCTACTTGTTACAAGAGCATATTCTTTTTTTATATATATAAAAGACTGTAATCTCACTATGTTACCCAGACTGGAGGACAGTGGCTCATCATTGCACACTACAGCCTTGAACTCCTAGGCTCAAGCAGTCTTCCTGCCTCAGCCCCCTGAGTAGATGGGACTCCAGGTGTACTCCACCATACCCAGCTAAGAATGGTTGGTTGGTTGTTTGAGACAAGATCTCACTCTGTCACCCAGGCTGGAGTAGCACAATCTCAGCTCACTGTAACCTCTGCCTTGGGCTCAAGTGATCCTCCCACCTCAGTATCTTGGACTACAGGTGCATCCCAGCACACTCAGCTAGTTTTTTAACTTCTTGTAGAGATGGAATCTCACTGTATTGCCCAGGCTTGTCTCAAACTCCTGGGCTCAAGTGATCCTCCTGCCTCAGCTTCCCAAGGCACTGAAATTACAGGCATGAACCACTGTGCCTGGCCAAGAATGTATTCTTAAATTAGGTTGCAGTGGATTTATGTACTAAGTTAGGTTGCATTTTGCTACATAGAAACTCATAGTATGGAGGCAGCCTCAGACAAATTAATTTAACAACACATTTTTCTCAGTGAAAATATATTTACATGGTTTTATAAAAGTTAATGATCCCTAGACAATTTCTCAGCTGTGAAAGGGGCTTTAGGTAAATCCACCAGAGGAGTTAACTTCCAGCCATTTTAATCACCACCCAACTCTATGCCTTCCCAACCCCACTCCTAAATTGTATATTTTAAATATCTTGCAAGAATTGGATATTCCTGTTTTAGAAATCACTTTAAAATTTTTTAAGTAAAAGTGTTCAAAGTTTATCTCTTGAAAATTCTGATTCCCCTAGATGATATGATTAAGGCAGATAAAAATTATTCATGTCCTTGAGTTTGTGAAACTAAGACAGAAGATAATTAATATGCTCAAAGTTAGACAAAGGCCCTTGACTTTCTAACCATTATATAATTAGAAATAATCTTTTAAAAACAATAGGTCTAATAAAAGGCATTGGCAGAGTCAACCTATTTTCTTTTTTATTCCCATTGTGTCCAGCTCTCCAAAATGCTTACAGACAAGGTTCTTGGGGGCATTTAAATGGAAATGAATCTAGCTCTTCATATTAACATATGACTGTTATCTGTGAAAGTAAACTTCTTTAGAAATATTAATGTATCATTTGCAAGGCTGTAAGTTAAACCAGATGGTAATGAATAGAAGACATTAAGGTATGTAGAGGCCCTAATGTTCATGTGTCTTGGTTACTGGCTGTGTAACAAATTATCACCAACCCCAGTGGCTTAAAACAGTCCTTTTATTTTGCTTACACTTTTGTAGGTCAGGCATTCAATAAGAACGTGGCTGGGCAGTAGTCACTTAGGGTCTCTCATGTAGCTGCAGTCACATGTTGGCTGGACTGCAATGATCTGAAGGCTCTACTGGGGTGTGTATTCAGTTTGGCTCACTCGCCTGGTTGGTGGTTGATGCTGGTTGTCATCTGGAACTCATTTGGGCTGTCAATCATAATGCCTCTTTGTGGACTTTCCAATAGGACCACTTCAAGCTTCTTAGGTGGTACCTGATTGGTTCACCCCAGAATAAACATTATAACAGAGTTAGGCAGAAGGTACTTGGCCATTTTTGAGCCAGCCTCAGAAGTTATTCAACATCACTTTCATTGTATTCTAATGGTTACAAGTGTGTCATTACGGTCAGCTCAGATTCAAGAGGAGGGCACATGGGCCCTGCCCTTCAACAGGAGCTGTGTTCAATCATTTGCAGACATGCTTTAAAATCAACATACCATGTAATGTTGAGAGTACCTGCTTTTATATTTTCAAATGCAGAAAAGCAGATATTCCCATGAAGACTATGGAATATCAGTAAAATTCATTATATCTTTATTCTAATTAAAAATATTCATGATTACACAAAAACAATTTATATTCAAAATTCTTATTTTAATTCTGTCAATAGTGTTCTGCTCTGTGTGGGAATAGGAATAAGGGCAGAGTAAGTGGCAACATGGAGCAAAGGAGGTGATCAGACAAGATCTGCAGAGCCAGAGGGTGGGATGTGTCATCTACATAGACTTCACATTTCCTTAAAATGATGACAACAGTTGAAGAACCAAAAAATGATTCCACCAGTTGTGCTAAGAGGCTGGTGTAGCCAGAGGCTGTGAGCCTCAAAGAAGCGAAAACCGTACAGTGGTCTGGAGGAAGCAGGGATGAACAGGAAAGAACCCTACTCCTCCTCCCAGCTACACTGCCCAGGCTAAAAGAGATAATTTTCTTTATTAGAGTCCCTAGGAGTATTAATCCCACTATCACATTAATCCTCAAATTAACCCTGTGAGGAAGGTATCATTAAAATTATACAATGTGTGTGTTCTCATATGTGTGTGTAGCATGTGAGAAGGCACTAGAGATCCTACAGATCAGCACTTGTTTACTATTTCTTCCAAGTGCTTTTACATTTGTTATCTGTCAAAAACATTGACATTTCAAGTTTCTGGGTTCAAAACCCAGCTCTGATGTTGACGAGCTATGTGACCTTGGGCAAAGTTAGCAGATCTCTCTAAACCTTGGTTGTCTTATCTATCAAATGGGGCTAGGGTGTTGAAAGGATAAAATAATTCATGGAAACACTTTTAAAGTATTAGGTTGATGCAAAAGTAATTGCAGTTTTTTGCCGTCACTTTTAATGGCAAAAACCACAATTACTTTTGCACCAACCTAATAGATTAAGTGGAGACCAGGCCTGAAGATTCCCTGGCAGACAAAGCCAATTAGCCCTCATAAGTGACTTAGACCTTTCTTTATATGCAAACGTAAGTGAAACTTAGCTTGAGCCACTTCTTATAAATGCCTGTATTAAAGAAAAACAGAACTTACCCTCTGGTCAAAAGCAGCCCACTAACTTGTTTAACTAGGACTTTCCAGCAGGACAAACCAAATAAGGCAACTTTATAACTGTAACCAATCAAATACTTTATTTGTATTACTTTCACATTAGCTCTATAAAAGCTTGTCCCTTACGCTTCTTTGATAGAACCCCAAACGTCTTCTAGTTTGGAGCTTCCCAATTCATGAAGTGCTGCTTGTTCAAACAAACTTTTTAAAATTTATTGTGCCTCAGTTTATGGTTTTAACATGCTTATTATAATTAGCATATAATAAGGGCTTAGTCAAAATGCACTCAGTGAATGGCTTAAAAATATATTACACATATACGTACATACACACATAAAATATCGGTTAATATCCCAGCTCTGCCACCAACCAACTTTTGACCCTAAGCAAATCACTTTAACATCAGGGCATTTTTTTTTTTCATTTCTTCACCTATTAAATCTCAGAAAGAAAACTACATCATTTCTCCAGTGCATTCCATTAGCAACCCATGCATATCCCTGTGATAGTAATTATCTTACCAGAATCTTCAGTATATTTATTTGCCACTCTTGACTGAGCTCTCTAAGGGCACAGACTATGTACTAATCAGCTCAGGCTGCCGTAACAAAATACCACAGGCCAAGTGGCTTAAACAGCAGACAATTATCTCTCACAGTTCTGGGGATGGTGGAAGTCCAAGATCAAGGTACCTGTTGATTCAGTTCCAGGTGAGGGCTCTCTTTCTGGTTTGCAGAAGGCCACCTTCTGGCTGTGTCCTTACATGGGGTGGTTGGGGGAAGCGTTCTGGCTCAGGTCTCTCTTCTTATAAGGGCACTGATTCCATTGTAAGAACTCCACTCTCCGTACCTCTTCTAAACCTAATCACCTCTCAAAGGCTCCATCTCCAAATATAATTGTCTTAGGTGTTAGAGCTCCAAGATATGAATCTTAGAGAGACACGAATATTCAGTTCATAACCAACCAGCTTTCATCCCCATATTCACACTACTTCATGTGTCATTTTTCCCTCAGGGAAAGCTTGTTGAAATTTTAAAACCACTTCTTGTCCCCAGATACTATCATCTAGAGATAATGAAAAAGATATATATTCACAATATAAGAGTTTCCCCACATATGAAATAAAAGAACCTTGGGTATTTTCAAAATCTTGTGGTGTGGTGTTGTTTGGATGCAGCAAACTTAATTTGCTGTATCACCATATATTCATTTAAAAATCTATCTTAATAAGTGCCCTTGGAAGGAAAAATGAGGAAAATTTTTTTTCCTGTTAGATAATTTTCAATCACTAAACAGAATCACCATTAAACAGAATTCACCACTCACCTCACTTTTCTCCTGCTCTCGTAGAAAATATGGTCTGCTTCCTATTGTATTTAAGGAAAAGTATGGAAGGAAACCATCTAATGCCTAATGGGATTATCTCTGAAGCCACCAGGATAAAAAATGTCACAAAACAGAGTTCAAGTGGCATGAAGGTTTTGTTAGTGCTTTTTCTTCTCGCAAAAATATCAACCTGCATTTCAACACTAGTTATTACATATTCATCTTTTAGAATTCTCCCCAAAATAAAATATATGAATTTGCTCCTGTTTAATAAAAAGAGACCAAGCTAATATGCTTCTGATTATAATGAAGCCTTTTAAGTCTATGTTGTAATTCTGAGAGTGAGTCACAACGAGTTTTATTAGCCTTATAGTTACATCTAAGTCATTCTCAGTTTTTATTGCCTGAATGGAAAAAATATTAATACAGTTCATTATACTAAGTAACAGCTTCAAATTCTCAGATTTGCTCTGCCTAGCAGGTAAAATATGCGTGTCTTATTTCAAACCCACTAGGTTGAAATCCTCTGAGGATTAGATTTTCATTCATATTCCCAGTAACCTTTCCTTTCTGTTGTGCTATTCATCCATTTTTGTTACTATTCAAAGCAAAATGAGAGAGAAAGAAGAATGCAGGCACTATGTGAAAACTTAACTGGAAAAAAAAAGATTTTTTTTTTTTGAAGTGTGAAGATAAGCCTGTTTGAGCCCTAGATCATTAATAAAGCAGCTACATCACTGGGCAAATTGGAGAGGTTAAATAATTTTGTTCTAAGTGATCAATTATTTAGCACCATTTCCAGTGACAGTGTTATAGTGTTTGTGAAGTAACAGCAGAAGGGAGGTGCGTGTGTGGGGGTAGATTCCTGGTCCTCGGGCTTTCATGCAGTATTGGTAGGCATGTTCACACTGGTCCAGGAAGAGCCGCGGCCTGTCTTCCATTCCTCTTTCCCACAAGCTCACCAAGAAGCGAGGTCAAAGTGCACCTGCTTTTCCCTCTCAGAATATTCATTTCACAGGTACTCCTTTCTTCCATTCCATACAATTGGACAAGGCCTACATCTTCACACTGCTGACTTCAGCTTGTTTTGTTGCCTTTTTCCTTCCATCTTGGAATGCCCTGGTGTAGGGAAAGGGGAGCTGTGAGGCTTTACGAGTAAGAAATCACTTACTGTGCCAGGTGTGATGACTCATGCCTGTAATCCCAGCACTTTGGGAGGCAGGCAGATGACTTGAGGCCAGGAGTTTGAGACCAGCCTGGCCAACATGGTAAAACCCATCTCTATTAAAAATACAAAAATTAGCCAGGCATGGTGACACACGCCTGTAGTCCCAATTATGCTGGAGGCTGAGGGAGCAGAATCGCTTGAACCCGAGAGGTGGAGGTTGCAGTGAGCCGAAATCGTGCCACTGCACTCCAGTCTGGGTGACAGAGCAAGACTCCATCCTCTCAAAAAAAAAAAAAAAAAAAAAAAAATCCAACAATCAGGTTTCGTGCAGCTAATAAAATTGTGGTGAGGGCCGGGCGCGGTGGCTCACGACTGTAATTCCAACACTTTGGGAGGCCAAAGTGGGCAGATCACGGTAAAACCCCATCTTTACTAAAAACAAAAAATTAGATGGGCATGGTGGCAGGTACCTATAATCCCAGCTACCCGGGAGGCTGAGGCAGGAGAATCGCTTGAACCCATGAGGCAGAGGTTGCAGTGAGCTGAGATCACACCGTTGCACTCCAGCCTGGGTGACAAGAGTGAAACTCCTTCTCAAAAAAAAAAAAAAAAAAAGTGGGGTGAAATACTCTTCTTTTGTGTCCTTTGGATGCAATTATGCAGAATAAGGCATAAGTAAATATATCTACATTGATAAGAAATGGACAAAATTAAATTATCTTACTGATTATAAATAGAATATAGGGAGGTTGTGGGTCTTGATGTGCTGGTAAATGTTCAACAACCTACTCTCTGGGAAACAAAGGCTCTGATTTATACTGTCTGCATATTTCTGTGGTGTAAATATTTCTACCATGGCCAATTTCAAGCTACCAACATGATGTCACTGAGTGCAGCTATGGAAAAAGGTGCACAGTGGGCTCCCCCAGGTGGGTGTGAGCCAGCTCCAGCACACCATTGAGTGTGGACAAATATACAGTCTCACCCTCCATTGTGAACCATCTTCCCAACCAGAGATTTCACAAGTTACTGACAAGTGGAAATATTAACTGATTTATTCAATTAGTCTTTAAATATTTTCTAGGTAAAACTCTTAATTACTAGCAATGTTATGAAAAGATGCAAACACATCAACAGATTCTATAATATTCTGTTTTTGGAGCACAGCCTATCTCCCCAGCTTTCTCATTCTCTTCTTTCATATCGCTAATCTTATTGGCCTCAAACTTCTGCATCATTTTTTCCTTCATTTCTATTATCAAGCCTCTCCCAGCTTTACTTTCTTTCCCTGCACAGGCCAAAACCCATGGGCCATGCCTTCAACTCCTGCCTACCAGAAACCACAGCTGTCTCATTCTGTCTTCCTTCCTCATCTATTCTTTAAACCTGCAATCCAAGATCAATCCAGTCATGTTCTTTGTCTTCTCCTGACCTGGATAGCCGAGCACAGATGGAAAAAATCCCAGCCCCAGGCTGATGGTATTCTTCAGATTTATAGCTTAAACATCAGCATGGCCTTCAAGTATGTAGTGACCTTTTTTGCTGGATTCTGTCTTCGTTTCCACATATCTGATATTCCAAATATTTGTCCCTTTCTTAAACCCACTCTCCCATCCTTCTTTCTTTCTTACCAAATGATATTGTGTCCAGATTCTCACCTATAATTTCCCACCCATACAATCTGAAAATATATCTACAATCTTGCTTATTCTTGTGTCTTTTCTGCCTTCCTCCTATATCCAAAAGTCAAATTCCTAGATCAGTGTTTTGGTACCTGTCCCAGTTATCTGTTCCTGTTCAGCATACCACCCCCAGAATTAGTGGCGGTGAAATGACAGTTGATTATCTCTCATGGTTCTGTGCATTGACTGGGCTCAGCTGGGCATTTCTTACTGGGCTCTCTTGAGCACTTGACGTCAGATGTTGGCTAGGGCTGCAGCTATGGCCTTGCCTGGATCAGAGATGCAAGATGGCTCACACGCAAAGTTGGAAGTTGACGCTGGCTGGGAGCTCAGCTGCTTGTGACTCGAATACCTACATAAGGCCCCTCCATGTGATTTGGGTTTATTAAAGGCCATACCAAGAACAAATACTCCAAGAGGCAGGAAGAAGCTTCCAAGCCAGTTAAAGATTTGTGCCAAGAAATGGCAAGGTCTCATGTCTGCTATATTCTATTGGTCAAAGCAATTACAGAGCCTAACCAGGTGCCAGTGGGTAAAGAAATAAACTCTAGCCCTGGATGGGGGAGCAGAAAGGTCACATGGCAGAAGAGGAGATGGGATGGGAGATATTGCAGCTGTCTTTGGGGTCTACCATCTGCCACTGCGGAAACTCTCCTAGTTTTCATCTCCTTCCTTCCTACTGGCTGCTCTCCTGCTTTAACCTGTGAGCATGTTCTTATCACTATGTTGTTAAAAGAAAAAGGTACAGAAATCAATGGATGTATCATTTGTGATATGTATACTTTTTTCTACGTATATTATAGTTCAATAAAAAGTTTAAACATGGTAGAAAAAGGGAAGAATTTGTGGCTCACTGCTACCAAATAGGTAGGTCTTCATAGAATTTAGTTTTGATGCTAATTTCAATGGTAGGTATGTCCCCCATCCTAGCATGTTTCTTTCTCGACTACAGAACTAATTAATGTGTACCACACATGTAAAAGAATGTTATAGTAACATGTGCTAATATTAGGACAAACCAAACTACTGCATATGTCTATTTCTATCTATCTGTCTAGAAAGCAAAAACTTTTTTTCCATGTCTTACTTTTTTTAATAGTAACATGATGTAATAAACTGGACTCTTAACTTGGATATTGGAGGGATTAGATAGGTCTAAAAAAAAGTCTTGAGTTCTCAGAAGAGAAAAAGTCCATGTAAATATCACGTATTTGATTTCTATTATCCTTCCAATGAAGTTAGGTTGAATAATACCTCTTAGAAACTAAAATAACAGGTGGGGCGCGGTGGCTCACATCTGTAATCCCAGCACTTTGGGAGGCCAAGGCGGGCAGATCACAAGGTCAGGAGTTTGAGACCAGCCTGGCCAACACAGTGAAACCCCATCTCTACTAAAAATACAAAAATTAATTGGGCATGGTGGTGTACGCCCGTAATCCCAGCTACTTGGGAGGCTGAGGCAGGAGAATCCCTTGAACCCAGAAGGCAGAGGTTGCAGTGAACCAAGATCACCACCCCACTGCACTCCAGCCTGGGTGACAGAGTGAGACTTCATCTGGGGGAAAAAAAAATGGAAACAACAAATGTCCTGCATATATATTTTAGGATAGGATTTCTGCTCTGTCCCAACAACTAAAACACAACATTTTCTAATCCCTGGTTTTATGAAAAATTACAAAATAGGCAGCCTTTGGGATCCTCCATCTTTACTTTCGTATGGTGTCTACTTCCTCTGCACCCCTCTGCCATGTTGCATTCTCTCTTCACGCCTTATCAACATAATGAGTCATTTAGAAAACCGGCCATGAGTCATTACAAAAATTAAATAGCTGAATGCGGTGACATGTTTCTTTGGTCCCAGCTACTCTGAAGGCTGAGAGGATTGCTTGAGCCCAGGAGTATAAGGATCAGTCACAGTGAGATAGTGAGACCTCATCTCAAAAAAAAAGTAATGCCCAATTTTAAATGGTTTATTATATTGCCATTGAGATTACCTATATCTTATATTATGCCAGACCTCAGCCCTATCTACTATCTTAAAATCTAAAATTTAAGAACTTACTTGCAAAGAAATAGGAGATGGTTAACATAATATTAACCAAGAAGCCACAATGTTCATGTATTTTTATGAATTCTTAAGAAAAATCAGGAATGATGTCCATCTTTAAAATTTTTATTAAAGATTATTTCAAGAAAAGGAATAGAATTTAATAAATATACTTTAAAAGATATGTACGTTAAATTTAGGGACATTTGGTATATATAAAAAAAGGCCATAAGTCATTGAGATTATTTCACTTTGACATGTAAATGTATTGCCTATCTCGGGGTATATATATTTAAGTCTTCTCAATAATTATACCTTAGTTTTATTTATTTATTTTTTCCATGTTGAAACAATTTGGACAGCAGGGACCAGGGTCTAAGTCTCCATAGCAAAGACTCACCCTCATGGAAACGCCGGTGTGGCTCTCCAAGTGACTCTGTGCTTCAGTGATTTCCGAAATACCAGTAAATAACAAAAACTTTCAGGAAGTCAGCCCTCTGAGACCCAGAGTTGGGTCTTCTGATTCTCAACATGAAGCTGTTATGACACTGAGTCTGAGAATTAGGACCAAAAATGGGAAGCAGAAGTCTCCAATTAGTAAATTCTCTGGTTACACATTCTTGAGTTTCTTCTTATTTCCATTTTTAAAACCTCAACCTTAAATCCGTGTGGTCTTTAACCCACCGCCCGCCCAGCCTTCTGCGGTCAGGCATGAGTGCACACCTGCCACATCCCAGGCAGCACCAGAGCACGGTGACAGTCGCGCTGGCCTGAGCACAGTCTCCAAACAGTAAAAAGGGATTTACTGCCTCTTGTTCGTTAATATATCTTAGTTGCCTCCAGCCTTGTTATTTTCTCTAGACATTACCGGACTCACTAACGCAGTGGCCCGAAGTAGACAAGAGGCAGTGTACGCTCCCACCCCCACCCCGCAACTTGCAGAGAAGAGCAACTCCCTGCTGTTGCGCCATAAATAATTGAACAGTCTCTTCCAGGCAACACAGTCAAGATGCAGATTTAATTTATTCCCTGGGAGGACTAAAGGTGGCTATGTAGAGCCGGTTCGCAGTCAAGCTGAGCTGGGGACACTGGTACTTTCAAAATGTGTCAAACCATGCCCTGGGGTCCAGTGTCAAATGCCATTGCAAAGAAGGGTTCTTTTCTTTTTAGCTTTGTTCTGTTTCCCTGAGCATTCCTCATTAGGAAAAGAAACTTCATTCCACAACAGAAAGGGAAATGATACTGATGTCACTGGCTGGCATTTTGCACATCTTTAAATTCACTAAAAATCTATGCGCCACATCTAATGTCATGGTTTCTACCTTGTTTATTTTCTTTAGAAGATTTCTTTTTTAAAGCCACCTGTGACTTGACGTCTGGAGTTGTTTTACATAACACAGTCTGAAAAGCACACCTCGTGGAAGCTACAACTTCTTTGCTTGTGTTAGAAACCTAGCGGGAATGGCTCAGGACTGCAATCCCAGCACTTTGGGAGGCTGAGGAGGGCAGATCACGAGGTCTAGAGACCTAGTGGGAAAAAGAATGGAAAAGAGGGAAGGAGGAAGAGGAGGAGGGAAGGAAGGAAGACAAGAAAGAAATCCCAATTCAGGCATTTCGAAAGACTTCTAGGAAGGACTTTTGGGATGGAACCAGGGGACGTAAAAGAACCTGAGACCACCAGCAGCACGAGGACCCAGGAGCGAGGAGAGAAATGGGCTTTCCAGGGACCACTGGGAGCTGAAGGAGAGAGGAAGTAGTGAAAAGAGGCAAACATTGCCAGAAATTTGATAATTCAGCCCAAACGAATACAATGCTGAAACATGCAAACGTATTCTCAGGTCCCTAAGTCTCCTATTATAGGAGCTATAATATTGAGTACATTGATTTTCACATATTATCTTCCGTTGCCTATTTGACAAAAATTTCTATTTTGCATTTCAAAGAAGCTTATATCTTAAAGATATTCTATCCTGTCCTTTAATTACTCATTTTAGAAAATGCTTGATATTTTCCATGTGAAATATTTCCTTTGGAAAGCTCCTGTCCTTCCCTTCCTCTCTCCCTCAACCTTCCCCATGTGGGTATTTGCAAACTATGTAGACTATGGTTGGAATCTTTTTGGCAAGTACTTAATCAGACTCCGGCTTTGTTTTCAAGTCTGGGTTGCTATGATTGTATCCCTAAGGAAGTTGGTTACGTTTTGGAAAGACTGTGTAACGCAGAGGCCAGAGCTGTCTTTTTGACCTGGGAGGTGATTTGAGGAAATGATCTCAACAAATTAACTTCTCACTTGTTTTTAAATGACTTTGAGATACAAAGGAAGAAAAAAAATCAGTCACTGCTGAAGTTCAAAGAAACGATGTTCTACTGAGTGCTTTATGGATTTTTTTAAGTACAATTTTCCAAATAATAGAAAAACATTCCGAATGATGATGTTGCCTGATTCACTGCACACAGCTGTCAGCTGATCCCAAACATTTATGCTTACCATTAAAAGCTTGGAGAAAACCAGATAAGGGTGACTTCTAGTCCATCTAGACAGATAACAATGCAAGGCTGTGCCGACTCTAATGTAAACATGTAAAATAAACCCACAGAAGCAAAACAACAACAACAACAACAAAAAACTGCAAAAATTTTAAAGGCTCTCCCATAGCCTGGTGGCTTTTATGGAAAAATTTTTTTTGCACCCATGGGGTGAGGAAAGAAGAGAATTTTGTCCTTCTGGTGAAACCTCTTGCCATAGACTTGAAACCTGTAAAATCATGTGGTTTATGGAGCAATGTTTTGTGCCTTGAATTCCATATGCAGAGTTTGGGGAAAGGACACATGTGGTGAGAGGTTCTGAGGTCTTGTCTCATGGGACGCTGGTTCCAGGACTTTCTTTCTGGGTGACCTTTCTTGGTGGTTAAAATAAAACATAAACTTTCACCATTCAAGTTTCTCCCTTGCTTGCCTCATGTCAGCTTTCCTCACTCACTCACATTTGGGTAAATGTACACACATCCTTTTATCGGCTTATGTACACACATATATTGTACCAAGCTGGCCAATGCAATATTTATGTTTGTACTTTGAGCTGCCTAAGATTTTGTCATGAAATCTAAGGCTGCTGTAGGGGAGAGAGTGCATAAAACTTTCATGACTAGTATAAAAAATACAAAATGTTATCATTAATATTTAATAAAATTTGCAGCAGTCAATGAGCAAAATCAATGTTTTTTAATTAAGTTATTCATTTGTAATACGAGCCGTACCTTGTTGTGCATTAGGGTGGAATTTAGGATGTTGAACTTAAAATAAATAAATAAACTTAATTTTAGCCCTCGGGGTAACAGTATTAGTGATAAAACTATTAATTGGTTGCCTTTGCTTTGATAAGCAAACAGGGTTTCTTTAGTGACAACATCTTTTATCCCAAAGAGCCTTCTGAGTCTCAAGCTGGATTCTGTCCAAGGTGTTTAGTAAGATGAATTGCAGTTCATATTGTTGATAACAGGCACATCAGTGCCCCAAGCGTATTGTTACCTCCTACCAAGGCTCTCCTATTCAAAATTGGGGCTGCATGAAGGGTGGAAGTTTATACAACTTGAATGGGTTTTTAACCAAGGTTGTAGAGTCATCCTATATTAATTAAATTAGCAATAAATCGAAGATCTGTTCATCTCTCCAACTTCTCTTTGCTCTGGAATTTATTTTTCCAACCCATCGTCCCTATCCAGTTCTCCCTGTCCCTTCTCTGAATCCTCCTTGTCGGTTTCCAGACCTTCACCCCTT
Organism: Homo sapiens; assembly: GCF_000001405.40. Taxonomy (NCBI): domain Eukaryota; kingdom Metazoa; phylum Chordata; class Mammalia; order Primates; family Hominidae; genus Homo; species Homo sapiens. Next base: position 10,873,831 of record NC_000010.11, read on the forward strand.
TGTCCAGCCTTCTTTCTGGGGGTGTGGAGGAAACAGCTTCCTGTGAGCAAAGCTGATGCGGGCAGGTGGCACATTGCTCTTCCTTACAGCCATTTAAAAATACAGCTTTGATTGGGATGCTGCTAACTTAGTCTCTGTATTTGCCCTATATCTAGTTGATGTAAATAATGTGCTGAAATTATATATTAAAATGATTCTGGCCAGGTACAGCGGCTCATGCCTATAATCCCAGCACTTTGGGAGGCAGAGGCAGCCAGGCTCGCTTGAGCCCAGGAGTTTGACACCAGCCAGGGCAACGTAGCAAGACCCTGCCTCTCCAAAAAAAAATGTTTTTGTAAATTAGCCAGGCATGGTGGCACATGCCTTAATCCTAACTACTTGGGAGGCTGAGGTAGGAGGATTGCTTGAGCCTAGGAGTTCAAGGTTGCAGTGAGCCATGATTGCACCACTGCACTCCAGCCTGAGTGACTTGAGTAGTGACAAAGTGACTCTGTCTCTTAAAAGAAAGAGTAGTGACAAAGAGACTCTGTCTCTTGAAAGAAAGAAAATAAAAAAGAAAGAACGCACTGTATTAATAATGCACTTTACCCAGATTCCATGGAAAATGGTTAAAAAAAAAAAAAAACCTTGATTATACTATACAGGGATGTCCATACCAGCTGATAACTATGAGTTAAAAATTTATAAATAGATCTCTAAGGACTTCTGATACAAGATTTTCAAAGTTGAGAGAAGAAAAGCATTGTTCTCATCAACCCTAATTATTAAACAAATTGTTAGTGTGATTTGTAAATGCAAAAAATGTAAGCACATTTCATAATATATGTTGATGTTGGTTAAATTTACCTAATGGGAAGTCGTGAAATTCCTGAAGGCTCAACTCAAACAAAATCATTTAATAAAAATAATATATATTGGAAAGATGGAGTATGTAGAATCCAGGATTAACTTGGTAACTTCTGAGGAACATGCAGAATGACACAAGCATTTCAATACCTGTTCTAGATTCACTAATAATATGACGTTGAAGGTGTAAAGGAAACAGTACATTCATCAGGGTGACCACAAGAAAAGGATTTAATTTTGATCTGTTTTAAGAATCTCTAGAAATAAATATAAATGTAAACTAGATTTCATTAAAATTGATCAAAGATGATTTCCTTATCCAAATTATCAAGAATAGTTAATATAGACCCTTTGGGGGTTTAGGAAAGTGTAGGAAGAAACTGTCTAGCTTATATTATGCTCAGCTTCTTTTGTTGTTTATTGAAATGTGTCAACTTTATTGTTAATATTTCACTGATGGTTCGTTCTTCATCTCTTCAATGTGGAATTCAATTTAAAATAAAATCCGATATTCCGTCTGAAAATTTCAATTCCCAGCAGAAGTATAATTCAATTAAGTTCCAAATATTTCTTTTAAAAATACAAAATAAAATCATTCTCTCTACATATGCTATTTCTGCTCAGTTCCAAAAGGATAAAAAACTGCATTTGTTTAGTTTTGGTTCATCTATCACTTTGTACATTTTTATGGATTTTTACGTGTAATCACATTTTCAGAGGGGATTTTTATATAGTCTGCTCCATTTCTGCAGAGTTATTACAGAGTTATTATCTTTCAGCCTTAAAATTATAAAAATTGATACACAATCTTTGGTTTCTCTCTCCCTAGGAAAGTGATGCGAAGCCATTCATCATTCACTGTGATGGGCTAAACTCGCTTTGTTTACTGTAGCGTAGGAGGGTTGTTTCTCCTCTTCCCTCTTTCTTACTAACAATGGTGGTGGTGATCATAGTGGCTTTCCTGCCTGTGCTGGGGTGGGAGGATGAGGGATAAGCACCTTACATCTAATCCTAGAAAAGAATCTGCATTTTTTTTTCTCTAAAAGCTTGATAAAGTACAGTATGTTATTTAAAAGGAACTTGCAGACTTCCATCTCCCTCTTCTGTTGAGGTTACTCTCCATACATCTCTTCCCTCTGCCTCTCTCTACCAATTTGCTGTTTGCAAGATGACTGCTCTATCAGACATAAAATGCTGCCTTTTCGCTTAACTATGCAACAACTGCTCTCTGTACTTCTAGGGCAGCCTTAATGGTGCATTTATATTCCATTCAAACTTGAACACAGCAAGAGAAAACCTACCTACAGGGATTGTAAGTACTGATGGCATTTGCCACCATCTGAAAGCCTTGCATATGGCGTTATGTGTACCTGAGCCATCCCAAAGTGTTGTCATTAAAACACAATTGTGCTTCACAGGTGTCAGCTGGGCAGAGGGGAGGTTTAGAATCATTTTTTATGAGGCTTATTCTAATCCCAGGGTTTGTGCAAAGGACCACATAAAAAAGCACCAAACTCAATGTCAGCTTCCATTTGAATACCAACTGGAGAAATACCTTCCCCTATAAATATGTTAGGAGAATGGGAGGTGGGAAGAAGCAGGGTTATGCTTAGGAGGAAGAGAGCGCTCCCATTGTGCTATGCTGTGGTGAGGTAGCATTCAACCCTCACAGTTAAGTTTGGGTTAACCTTAAGTTTAACCTGCACTTCTGTGCTAAACTGTGCCATTGTCTTCTCAGACACAAGGAATCCAAAAATGTCCTGCCACTGATCAGAATTATGTACATAATATACACCATCCTTGCCTCTTTATTCTCACCTGCCAGAGACTCTCACACACTTGGACAAGCGTGTCTTCTAATGAGATGTAGCAAACAGTGCCGCGTTTTAGGAGGCCGATTACTCTGAATGCAGTGTGATGGCTCTGGTTTTTTGATGTCTGCAGGACAAAGATGTGCAACGTCAAAATGCCTCTTTACTGACTCCTACCCTCCCTGTATGTATTGGTTTTCCTACTCTCCAGAATGCCTCTCCACTTACGGGATCATGTCTCTTATGTTCTCCTCTTCTTTCTCCTGTCTTTAAAACCAAGAAAGCATCATCATGCACTCCAGATAAGAGTGATATTTCAGATATAAATTAAGAGACACTTGTTTAAATGGAGCAACGTTTGTGCACATGCAATGTGTGTGTGGTCTATGTGTGTGCATGTGTGTTTGTGTGCAACACATGGTTGCATGTATGTAGGATGGAGATTCAGATCATACCTGAAATTCCTGAACTCGCATTTCCTCAGCTGAATGCCACCCAGAAGGCTTATTTGCACTCCTCTAGAGTACTGGCAGTGTTAGCGTCCTTCTACAAGAGTCCTATTGCAGGAGGCATCTAAAGATGTGGCTCCATAAAGGTGAGCAACTAATGTAGACTTGCCTTAAACAAGTAGAGGCCACTGCGGTAATCTGGGCAAGCAGTAATTCAACTTTCCTTCAACTTAATCATCAGGGCAGTATGACTGACAATTTCTTGTGTGAACCCCAAATATCTGAGACAGCTCTCAGTTAATTTAGACAATTTATTTTGCCAAGGTCAAGGACACACCCGTGACACAGCCTCAGGAGATCCTGATGACATGTGCCCAAGGTGATCAGAGCACAGTTTGGTTTTATACATTTTAGGGAGACATGAGACATCAATCATCATAGGTAAGTGAACATTGGTTCAGCCCAGAAAGGCAGGACAACGAGAAGTGGGGAGAGTGCTTCCAGGTCGTAGGTAGATTCCAGACAAATGGTTGCATTCTTTTGAGTTTCTGACTAGCCTCTCCAAAGGAGAACATCAGATATGCATTTATCTCAGTGAGCAGGGGAGTGACTTTGAATAGAATGAAAGGCAGTTTTGCCCTGAGCAGTTCCCCACTTGACTTTTCTCTTTAGCTTAGTGATTTGGGGGCCCTGAGATTTATTTTCCTTTCACAATTGAATGGATGGAAGATTTTCTCAGCAACCTGAAATTTAGAGAAAGAGAATTGATAAGGCTGTAAGATAATGAGTGAGATGGACGAGTTGGGTAGGAGGGAACCATTTTACTGCCATCCTTAGAGGAGGCTGAATACATTCCTTCTTTGCTTCCTTTCTTCCTTCCTTTATTTATTCAATAATTCTACTTCGTGCCTGTTATATTCAGCAAGCCTGGCGTAGCCTCTGACCTCCTGTAGTTGAGAGCATACATCTCTTTTATTCATTCATCCAGATAGGATCTAATTTTCTAGCAGCCTAACCCAGAAACCAAGATGCACTCTTCCAAAAAGAAAATTCATAAACCAAGTGGGGGATGGCTGATAGAAAACAGACCAACGGAGGGGACCAGTGGACCTCCCTGCCTCTACCAGAGCCTGAGGCAATCAAAAAGCTTGGGATTGCTCGCCCGCCAGCAGGAATTTCCCAGCTAGACACAGAAATGAACACCACCTCCTACACTTTCCAACCTGAAGATCCTATAGGATCCCATCTATTAGATGACTCTAATAGAATCCTTCACTCTCTGCTAGAAGGAAAGATATTGATTCCAGTGTCAACTAGCTTGGACCCAAGGGCCACTCTTTCCTTTGCTTGGTTGAGGAGCCATCTCCCTGGGCTAATCTGGTGAGCAACCTCAGATGGGAAAAAACAAACAGGCCTTTCTGTGAGTCTCTGAGCACAGTGGGTTACTTTCCTGGACAAGACACTTGCTTTGTGTGTGAATCAGTTTCCTTTCATGAAACCTTGAATTTAACCCGCGCTTCTGTGCCACGACGCAATTGTCTGCTCACTTCCTCAAGCCTGAGATTGGGGGGCTTCTGTCTGCTCTTTGAATCAGATGGTAGATAAAGATCTCATACACACACGTCCAAGTGGGCAGGCCTAGACAAGTGGTCGTACAAATACCCTCCACTTCAGCCTCAGTCCTCTCAAGTTGGTCATTTGTGCTGAGAAATCTCTCCTCATCTTAGTGAGTGGAGGGTTTCTGAGTGACAATACATCGCTACTTGTGGAGGAAAGAGTGTTTGTTTCCAATTCAAATTGAGATCACATAATTGTTTACGACGAAAACATGATTTTCTTTGCCCGCAAACACACAGAGGAAAGCAACCGTCCTCATGACAGCATTGTTACAGCATCTTCTCGTCTCTGCCAAGCTCTGGGTGAAGATCAGGGCCAGGGGAAATGAAGGGCTATGACTGCTTTGTGGTTGATTCCCTCCCACCTCCCTCAGATGCATTGTCTATAAAATTAAACTAAGATTTCATCCTTTACTTTTCACACTTCTCACTCCCAGGGCTGTTCCTGTTCGTTTTTTGTCTTTGCCGGGATGCACAAGGGGCCATTAATTACCTGTCGCTTTGTATCCAGGAGAATAACTGGGATGATTGTACTCACATCCCAGGGAGTTATCCTTTAGGTAATCAAATGAAAACAGTTAATTCCAAGCCTGCACGGCAGTGTACTTTCTCATAATGGAAAGTAAACACTGTGTCACTTTCATAACACATTTAAACAAGGGGCCTGGTGAATGCAATTCATTGCATCTGACAAAGGCAGAAAACCTCCCTGGCTGCTCCTGTGTCTCCCAGAGTGCCCGCTCCTGGACATTTCTCCAACATATACAATACTTAGTGCCACGCACTGGCTAGTATTCTCAAATGCAACCTGGTTAAATCCACACTAAAGACTTGATTTAGAACTTGACTCCGGCCTATGTATTTAAAAAAGAAAATCAAATTGTTCAGAGTTGAGTTGTTGCAAAGCTCACATTTGAAGTTGTTCATACCACAGATTCTCAGAATTACAAATAAAATAGGGTATTGAATTTACACATACCTTACCAGAAAGTCCTGTGATTAAATCATTTGGAAGGGATAAATGGCAATTCCATTTTGAAAGCTCTCTAGGAAAATAGTCTACAGGGCACCTGTCTTAATCATTTAACACTGAGTTAAGAAATCCTTTCTTCGGCCCAATCAAATGTAATTCTGTTACCTTGTATTATTGTGCCTTCTACATGAAATAAATGCTTTCTCTCTCCAGCGCACCTTGCTATCCCGACATCCTGTTCTTAATCCTTCTCTTCCTTGGGTGGAATAACTCCAGTATTTTCAAAGAGTTTCACTGCTCCCCCAACTCCACACCTGCCACTCCCCACATACACTTTCTGAACCTTCTTGTCTAGTCTGACAGTAATGGCATCACGGAGGTGACCATCTTCCTAATTATAAAACCTGACATCTAACCTCTTGAGTAATCTGACACAGGGTGAACTCAAGCAGTTCAATTTTCAAGTTTAAATCCATTTAGCAAATATTTATTCAGCCTTCTAAGTAGAAGAAAATGTGCCCAATCTAATGGGAATCAGGAAGGGTAAGAAACGGTTCCTCTCTTCAAGGAGCATAAATCGTAAGTCTAGGAATAACTAAATACAAGAACATCGCCATGATTTGAGAAACAGCACAAGAGGAGACTGTTACTAGTTTCTTGACAAAAGATTGGTTCCTGCAAGTCCTACAGAGACTGTGAGGGGCTGGGCCTACCAGGGAGGAGAAACATGAAATTTGGGCTTGGGAAGACTTAGATTTTCTCCCATGCCTGCTGTTAAGGGGGCCCACGTTATAGTTTCTGCTGTCCTTGAACTTGCAAGTGGCTGAAAAGATAAATGTACCATGATTTGGAGGCCTGAATATTCTGAACAGGAAGAAAATAGGGGTGATCAGTGTACGCAGGAAATTATCTGACCTCATTCCTTAGGATGGTGAAATAGAGAAGGGTGCTAAGGAGCCTATCTCCTTAACCGCATCTTTTTCGGACTGACTCTTACCCGAGAATCCTTCAAGTGAGATTTGGGGTGTTACGGATACTGGCTTCAGCCTCTATGACTAAAATATGTTGAGCATATGGATTTTACAGGAAGGCATAATTTCTGAAGCTAAGAAGCGAACAGACTGGGAAACACCAAAAGGAAGGACCAAGCAACTAGGCCAAAGCCAGCAGAAGTAGAATAAGCCTCTCTGTTTAGGCAGAGTGGAGTGGAAGCAAATTTCTTGAAACAGGATGTTTTTTGTCTTAACCAAAATAGTTGGGCTAATTTCTGCCATATTTTGTACATTCTATGTTTGTGCCTGTTTCCCGAATTCTTTGTCTTATTTTCTGCTTTTATTTTTTCCAGTGATGAGGAAGGTATATTTCTGGAAGGTAGAAAAGTCTTATGTACTCAAAGGATTCAAGGACTACCATTTTTTATTCTTCCTTATTTATAGTGAGAAACTTAGTGTGTTCCATTTTTCTCCACCCACCTTCTTCATGTCACATGGAATTCCAGACCCCGGTGATTGCTACAGTAAATAGATTCTTCCAGAAACTGTTTAACATGCATGTTTAATTTTGCAACTTCACTTACGACTGTTACTAGGACGTGATTCTATGGCCTCACCTTGATCAGTTGCTCACCACTGTCCCTCTGTCCTTGGACTTGCCTGCTATGCGTAAGTTCTTGCTTTTGATTCATCTCACTTATCACTGGAATAAATTTACATACATTTTCAGAACTGGTGCATGGATGGTATATTTTGAGAGACCTCGCATGTCCAAGCAAGACTTACAGTTGCCTTAAAATCTGAAAGCCATCTGGCTGCGTACAGAATTCATGAGTAACTACCTATTTCCTTCAGAATAAAAATAAATTTTTAACTTCATTTTTTTCCTGAAGTTTAAAGCTGTGAAAGAGAGTCTGGCTAGGGAGACCAGCTGTTAGTAAAATATGAGATACTTCAAACTTAATGCCTCTCTCCAAAGATTTGTAGCATTAGACAAAGGTAAACCCACCCTCCAGATTTAGCATCCTGAAACATTTTTCATATGTAACTCAGATTTCCTTTCTTTATTTTTAAGAAATGAAATGTTATGAGTCAGCTAAATTCCCGATCTGACTTTTGATGAGAATATTTTGCTTTAGTCTTTGACATTTTGAAAGTCTTCATATGTGTACAGGTGTGTCTTATACTGAAAGAGTCATCTCTCAGAGTCCACCCGGTGCTGCTAGAATCCCTTTTTTTCAGATGTGGTACTTAAGAGCAAGTTGTTATGCATATGCCAGACAAAACTGCCGCTGCCTAACAGTCATTTATCCACTTTATCAGGTTTCCGAAGTGTAGGCATGACTGGATATTACTCCATCTTCAATATGTTCCATCTTGTTTTGAGATTGGGGGCAATTTCTCCCAAAGATTAGTAATATTTCAATTGACACCTTTTGTATGTAGTATTACTGCATTTTGGCATCTTTTAACATGTTTTTAAGTCCACTTCAGGAGAAATGGGCAGAAAGTGAATCTGGCAAAGCCAGCGGATTGCTATCCTAACTCTGAAAATGCAATCGTTACCATATCCATTTATTTGGCTGGTTTCCCCATTTCCCACAGAATGGTTATCAACATTGTTTAGACTGCTATTGGCTTGCATCTTGTGACTCATGATTTCATTCTTGTAATCATGTCTTATAACATTCTTATAATCAGTCTTATAACATGAAGCAATTAATCAGAAAAGTGAGGTCCAAAGACCTCAATGAAGAAAGGAAGTAAGGGAAGAAGAAAGCAGGCAGTGAATCCCCGGAGTGGCCTCCTCTGGCTGAAATTGCCATCCAAGAGCAGAACTGAAATGTGGTTTCCCTCGTAGTTTGTTTTCTTAAATGTATCTCCATTCTGTCGTGACTTGACCACAAAGGGAAGGTGTTCTGTTGTCACTAAATTACTTGTCTGAACAGGGAAGGAAGTTTCTATTGGTTTAATCCTCATTCATAGCTACGAAAATGTGTCCTGTCTTTCTCATGAAACTCATTTAATTATTGGAAAATCCCTCTGCTAACATGAACAAATTGAATTATTCCATGGGGTTTTATTGCTCTAAAAAGCAATTCCTTCATTGATGAGAGAACCTCTCTAGCGTGTTAAGAGAGGGAAAATATCATACTTAATGACAGTTTGCCTCATGTGAATTTTCTCCGTAAGATTTTCTTGTGATTTGGGCCCTTGATAAATAAAGTGCATTTTATTATTTTACTCCTATTATTTTATTCTATTATTCCAAAATTTAAAATATCAAATAAAAAAAATCAAGTTCTGGGTGCACTGCTAACCTTTGATCTCTTTGCCTGTCCCCATAAAGCACCCTCAGACTAGGAATCTTCTGTTATAATAATATGATCTTGTCATGACTAAATAGTAAAGTTCACTTTCCCCTGGTTTATAAGCTCTGGGCATGATAAGATGGCGAAGGGGCTTATTGTCATTCTTCCTGTCTCTTGAAATGTCAGTTCCACACTTATTAATTAAGATAAGGTAGCACCAGGAGCAAGACTAATAGTTTACTTTCATTGTTATTGTATTTTAACAGGCCATTACACAATACTCAAAAATACTCTGTCATTCTGCTAATCTAGTAACAGACCCATGTATATCCATTTTACTTTTCAAGAGAAATATCTTTATAGAGCTTAGCAAATTAACACTTTGACTAGAGGAGCAAATATGTACATGTTTAAAAACCTACAGAAAAATAATGAGGCTAAATGTTAATTGAGCTACATTGTATTTACTTTTAGCTTTAAAATTCCTTACATAAATTGAGCGTTTAAGCAATAAAATTTGAGAAGTACAGCATTTTTCGTGTTCCAAAATTTTCTATCCTGTATAAGGAAAATAATGTTTTATTCAAGCAGTCATGCTGCAATCCAATGGCAGCTCTAACAGATTCTTCATTTAAATGTGTGTTGTCTACGGAAACTGGCCCTCTTGATTTTTTCGCTGTGTGATCCCAACAGTCATCATGGATGCTGCCACCCGGAATGGCATTTTTAGGCTCTGGGGAGTGTAGTTGTGTGCTTCTCATGCTGTCCCTGGCCAGAGTGACTTTGTGAAGGGGACAGGATCCATGGCCAGTGCTGTTGTTGGACTCATCTGCTGTACTGAGACGGTGCGGAGTCCTGTGGTAGTGAGAAACTCATCTCAAGGGTGGAAAGTTGGGGAGAAAGATGGGTACAGCCAAGGCCACTTGCTGATATTTGACCATATTGACCCACAAAAATGCAATTTCATATGGTTTTGCCTAATATGTTTCGCTTCTGCTACTAGCATTGAACAGATGATGAGGGCTAGGCATTCTCATAATTTCCTTCCTCCTCCTCCTCCTCCTCTTCTTCCTCCCCCTCTTCCTCCTCCTCCTCCTTCTCCTCCTCCTCATCCTCTTTATCTCCTCCTTCTTACTTTTGTCCTCCTCTCTCTACACCTCTTCCTTCTCCTCCCCTCCCTCCTGCTCTTCCTCTTTGTCTTCCTCCTCTTTGTCAGGAGCTGTTTGGGAATATGATTTAGGAATCTGCAAGGAACCTCACAATCTTCTTTCTTGCTCTCCTTTTGTTTCCATTGTAAATGGAAAGAAAAAAGAATAACACCACGAAATAAAAACAGCCAAGAGTGAGTAAACGATCATCTTGAAGGTCCTTTTCCATTTTCAAAGCTCTGTAACAGTGACTCTATGAAGAACAGCTGTGACTAAATGGGGTTTTCCTAAATGAGGGAGCTGTGTATTTTCTAGAGGCTGGCTTTGGGAAAGTAGAACCTGTGCATACCAGCCACTGTCAGAAGTGGTTTGGACAATCTGGAAGGTATTGTGTGATGTTTCCCACCCCAATTTTGAACTTAACCATTGCCCATTGCTAAACCTGCTTTTAAATGTCAAAGGTCAAAGTATGAGTTCACACAAACGTGAATGATGCTGCACTCCCAGATTTCCCTAATTTTTTATTTCATGTATGCAAAAGAAAGTCCACATTCTTTAATAGGACTTTTAATATTATGAACAGAACTTATCCTACCCTTTATATGTTTCATGTGTACTACTCTTTTGCCTACCCATACATTCAAGACCCACACACACCCATACACTGTGCTTGAACTATCCTTGACTTCTTGCCATTTCTAGAATATGTCTTATACTTACATGACCACAACTCCTTACTCATACTGTTTTCCTGAACTTGAGGAAATCTGGACAAACTAGGGCCCAGCTAGTTTAGAAGCCTTTGCACTTCTATACAGTGCCACTGTGTATGACTTTGGGCACCTTGGTCTTTTTGTGTTGAGTGATTATTCTGTGTACATGCATGCTCATTGTGGCATGCTTATTGTGGCCTTCTCTGCCATGGCATTTATCTAGCACATGCTAAGCACTTAGTAAGTGATTTTTAAGATTAAATGATAGGGTATCTGGGCACAGTGGCTCATGCCTGTAATCCCAACACTTTGGGAGGCTGAGGCAGGCAGATCATGAGGTCAGGAGTTTGAGACTAGCCTGGCCAACATGGTGAAACCCCGTCTCTACTAAAGATACAAAACATTAGCTGAGCGTGGTGGTGTTTGCTTGTAATCCCAGCTACTCAGGAGGCTGAGGCAGGAGAATCGCTTGAACACGGTAGGTGGAGGTTGCAGTGAGCCAAGATTGTGCCATTGTACTCCAGCCTGGGTGACAGGGTGAGACACTGTCTCAAAAAAAAAACAAAAAAGATAAAATGATAGGTCTTTACAGACTATATGTAGGTATTTGCTTCACGCTAGTGTATATGCTGGAGAAAAATGCTTTCTAGAAGAAAAGTTATCAAATGGTAGATGTTTGTTTTTAAAAATTATGTGAGAAATATAAGTGCAGTTCTAGTCTAAATCTAGAATCTAGGCTCCAGATTAGCAGGAAACAAGCAGAAGACAAGAATTTATTGTGATGAACTGTATAACAAACCTCCTCTGACTTCCTGAAGTTTATAAAAATACTTACATAAAGGAAGCAAGCTCACAGAACAGTTTTTTTAAAAATTACACAAAAATGTCTCCATAAGCCCCTGGTAAACAAAATGGAAATATTATGTAATACTTTCCTGTTGCTGCTGTAACCAATTGCTGCAAATGTAGTGGCATGAAACAATGTAAATCTATTATCTTATGGTTCAGGATTTCTTCCAGAGGTCCTAGAAAGAATTCATTGATGTGCCTTTCCCAGCTTCCACAGGTCACCTGGACTGCTTGGCTCCTGGTCTCTTCTTCCATCTTCAAAGCCAGCAGTGTAACATTCAGATCTCTTCTTTCTGACCTCTGCTTCCCATCTCCCATCTGCTAGTCTCCTCCTATGACCCTCATTCTCCTGCACTTTAAGATCCTTAATTTAATCACATCTGCAAACCCCTTTTGCCATACAAAATAAAATTTTCACAAGTTCCAGGGATTAGACTGTGGATGTTTTTGGAAGAACATGAGTCCATATCTCATGATAGCAGAAAGAACTCATCTTTCCCACGTGTTCTAATAATCTGGATGGGTGGTCTTTTATATTTTAAATTAATATTCTATCCAGGGTCATTTTCTTTCCTTGCTTCATTCTTGCCTTCCTTCATTCCTACCCTTCCCTCCTTCTTTCCTTCCTTTCTTCCTTCCTCTCTTTTTGTAGGTATTTATTGAGTCTGTGTATCAGGCACTGTTTTTAGCCCAAGTTAGTTATACCAGCATAAGTCACTTGACCATCTGTTACCCCTTTAACTGTTGCTTCAAGACAAAGCTATTTGGAGAAGACCATCACCCAAAATGATAATATAATATAATATAACAGCCTTTCATAAACAAATTTGAGCCTCATTATTTTAGAACTCTCACTGAACACTGAGACATGCAGAATATAGGCAAAGTGCCAACAGAAGGGCTGCCCTCCTGATATTTACATTGTTGACAGATGAGACTGTTGCACAGATACACGAAGAAGAGTCTGACAACTGAACGAGAGCCTGAACGTGTATGTGCATTAAAAAAGGAAATGAAGCTGGGCATGGGACTCATGCCTGTAATCCCAGCCCTTCAGGAGGCCAAGGCAGGAGGATGGCTTGAGCCTGGAAGTTCAAGGCCAGCCTAGGCAATACAGTGAGACACCATCTCTGCAAAAAATAAAAAATTAGCCCAGCATGTGGGTGCATGCCCGTGGTCCCAGCTACCTGGGAAGCTGAGGTGAGAGGATTTCTTGAGCCTAGGAGGTCAAGGCGGCAGTGAGCTGTGATCACACCACTGCACTCCAGCCTGGATGACAGAGTGAGACCCTGTCTCAGAAAACAACAAAAAACAGAATTAATGAGCGAGGGGCTGACATTATTTATAAGCTGTTTGTGGTATGCCAAGCAAGGGACAGTCACAGAAATTGCATTTCTAGATGAGCTGAGGTTTGGGGTGTGGGGTGGGAGAGGGAGACAGATTTTTGCCTGGGTGTCACAGCTTCCTGAATTTGCAGTTTCAAATGGCTGCCTTGGCAGTCTCTCATGCATTAACTCCCTGTCGCCAGGTCTAAAATAACCGGGGACTGGCAGAAGCCTAGAGCTATTCCTTCCCAGATTTGTAGCATTGTTACTCTTTTTTTTTTTTTCCTAAGCTCCACTTGTAGAATGTAGACTGCCAATCCAACTTGCAAAGCCATCAGATACAGGCACATCATCCCGTAAGCATTTCTGACAGTCAGTGTCACTATGCATCTTTTTTATCACCTTCCTTTTTACAAGGTATCACAGATAGCACGTGAAGTTCAACTGTGATTAATAGGACTCTTTCACCATTGACTTCACTGGGCTCCAGCCTACGAAGAAAAATGTGGCTGCTGATAAATCTCATGTGATAAGAGCTGTGTTATGTAAGCAGTTCAGGCAGGCGTTTCAGCGCATATTATTATGACAGGGTGGTAGTTTGCAAAGTTCAATTGAATTGACTAGGCCGCTTGTCCAATTGATTTTGCTTCTGTTGAGTGGGAAAAACAAATACTAATAGTACCAAAACCCATGTTTGCATGATAGAGATTATCTGTTCGGCTGTTGGTCTATTTTTTTGTAACCACTTTTAGAATATTATGCACACTTGGAAAAAATTTTTCTAGTCCTTTTTTTCTTAGAAATTCATACATCAAAGCTTCTGGTGGAACACTGAAACAAAACATTTAAAATTGTCTGGGAAACTTTTCAGAGGAAAGAGGAAAATGCAATTGTTCTGTGTAGACTTTTATTTTTTTTTTTTTTTGGAGACAAAGTCTCGCTCTGTCGCCAGGCTGGAGTGCAATGCCACAGTCTCGGCTCACTGCAACCTCCACCTCCCAAGTTCAAGCGATTCTCCTGCCTCAACCTCCTGAGTAGCTGGAATTACTGGCATACGCCACCACACGCGGCTAATTTTTTGTATTTTTAGTAGAGACGGGGTTTCACCATGTTGGCCAGGCTGGTCTCAAACCCCTGACCTCAAGTGATCTGGCCGCCTTGGCCTTTTAAAGTGCTGGGATTACAGGCGTGAGCCACCGCACCCAGCCTGTGTAGACTTTTGATGCACTAACTGTATGTGGGGGATGGTTTAGGATGTCAAGATGTACATGTGCACAAGATTTATGGATGACATAGCAAATGATTTACATTACTGAATTTCTAAAGGACAAGAGATGTAAATGGTGAAAAATCACCTTGGGTTAGATGGGAGCAGAAAGAACATAGACATTCCTTCTAGGCAAGACTTGCTTACTGGACACATTCTGAAGGAAATTTAATCGTGCACGCAGGGTGGGAAGAGCATGGCACAGGCACAGGCACCCCTGTAGACTGAATTCTCTTGGGGGATGAGTTGGGGGAACAGTTTCATCTCACACCATAACTTTAATCATAGCTAAAAATTGCCATGTGATTATCGTGCAGTATTGAATTATAAGGACCAGTTAGATCAGTGAATTTGGATCTTTCTGAGACTAACAAATGGAAAACAGAGACTTCGTTTTACATAAAAGATTTTTTGTGGGTAACGAAAAAACCAAGACATTCCTTGTCCAGCCTCATTCAGCAACTATTCTCTGTGTTCCGTGAGCCTAGGGCTGAAGCCTTCTTGGAAAGTCTGCATGCCCCAGGCTTGAGCAGTGTTTTCATACCTCCATGCCTTCGCCTGATCTGTGCTCTCTGCCTCAAACACTCTTTTTCTTCTAGTAACCTCGGGCTTGCCCTTCAAGACCCAGAACAAACAGTTATTACCATCTCTCGCCAAAATTAGTGAGTAACTTCTTTTCTGAAACCTTTCAGCACGTTGTACATATATCTTTCATAACTGATTCGTTATTTAAATATAACATGGTCTGTCTCCCCCAGTAGTTCATAGGCTTCTTGGAGCGGGGACCATGTCACTCTTATCTTTGTCTTCCTGCCCTACCCAAGCAAATCATAGACTCTTAGTGCTTA
The DNA here is from genome assembly GCF_000001405.40 of Homo sapiens. Lineage (NCBI taxonomy): Eukaryota > Metazoa > Chordata > Mammalia > Primates > Hominidae > Homo > Homo sapiens. Next base: position 10,888,980 of record NC_000010.11, read on the forward strand.
TTAAATAATTGAATGAATTTGTGCCCAGAGAAGGGACACCAACCAGCCAAAGGCACACCCCATCACCCTCCTTTTATTTCTTCTCTTGTCAGAAATGCAAAACTCTTAATGTAAAACCTTCTGTGATGAAGAAAGCAGAAAGAGGTTGTGAAACTTAAAATCCTCTAATATAAAATGTTCATGTGGGTAGATCCAACAGAGAAGAAACTAAGCCTAAGGGATTTTCACTCTGAAATCCATGGATTTGCTTTCTTGTTGTTTTCACCTCTTCCCAGTAATGCCATGTGATGGAGCCATTTCGCAGGGGTTAATCTACATGTAATGAAGTTTCAAATAAAATCATATACTGTACTCCACTTATGGGGCTCTGAGGTTTTTCTTTTCTAGGCAGCATGATACAAAACAGTGATAAATAGGCTGATGTTTATCACTGCACCTAATACCTTTTAAAAGAAATTTTTTTGCTGTCCCTGAGCAAGTATATATTATTGTGAGTAGTTTCTTCATTAAAATCAGAGGTTTTGCATATACTCTATCAGAACTGGAGAATGTCTGATCATCAGAAACATGCAAGATTCAGGTGCTATGTCTTCTCTCAAAAGACCTCCAGCCGTCTCTGACCCATGTCAGTCTGACTTTTGCTTTCTAATAAAACTCATGAGCAAATGTGCAGATCTAGCTAGCCTGGCATGGGCACTGGTATTAAGAACTTAGTTCTGCCACCTGCAAGCATATACCTGCTGGTCAAGAAAACATAAAAGTATCCTTCCTCCTGCCCCAGCCCTAGGAGGGGAGCATAACACAAGAGTATTGCATAGGAGAGTCTTCCAAAGTAGCACAACTTAAACCGTGGTTCTGATTCTAAGAAAAGTCAATAGCCCATCTGGAATTTTCGGGGACCATTTTTCTTCCTGGAAGAGTGTACAGTCTTTCCTGTGCATGATAAATGTGGGGCATTTACACTAGGAGAGTCCTATACTGATGTGGATCAACATTCATCTTCATCTTCTATGCTAAAATCAAAAGTATACAGTTTCCTGAGATGGAAACGATGGGGTCAGGGTCACAATGAGGAGGGGTTTTTTTCCCCTAAACTGCAACTGATAGAATTTCAGTGGCATGTAGATATGATGAGTTCTCATGACTTTTTTCTCTTTAGTTCAAAATAACAGTAAAATGAACAGCCAAAGAGAAGGAGAATAATGATATATCAGGTTTGAAGATGATCTATACAGGTATTGACCAGCTTTCTGGAATCAGGGGTATTTCCATATAACTTTATGTCTAGGCATGGATCGCTCAAAGGTGAATTGTCTACATCATGGACAGTAAAGTAGAAAGGAAGGCCCACAGACTGAGAATTAAGGATGTGGGAATGCATGCCCCGCCCCTCACCAGCTGCTGGTCTAGACCACCTTACAAAATGTCATGGCAAAAAAATGCTTTGTCAACTACAAAGCATAGTATAAAATTCAGTTGTGCATTATTACAATTATTGAAATGATTACTTGATAATTTTACTGATTTTCCCCACAGTCTGATGGACATGGATGAAATTTAGGGTTGTTTAGGATTTGCTCATTTGTTGAAAGTAAACTTCGTTTGAAGCACTAAGCACCTCTCTGCCTTGAAAGGTAGCACTTTTGCTGAGAGGTGAAGCTGGTTTTAGTTGTTCTCCACATCCATGCGCAAAGTGTTTCTTCCATTTCCACAACAGAGAAGAGACAGGAAAGTGATTAAAGAGACCAGCATAGGCTGGGCGCTGTGGCTCATGCCTGTAATCCCAGCACTTTGGGAGGCCAAAGCGGGCGGATCGCCTGAGGTGAGGAGTTCAAGACCAGCCTGACCAACATGGTAAAACCCCTTTTCTACTAAAAATACAAAAATTAGCTGGGCGTGGTGGCAGGTGCCTATAATTCCAGCTACTCGGGAGGCTGAGGCAGGAGAATCACTTGAACCTGGGAGGTGGAGGTTGCAGTGAGCCGAGACTGCAGCATTGCACTCCAGCCTGGGCGACAAGAGCAAGACTTCATCTCAAAAAAACAAACAACAACAACAACAACAACAACAAAACCCAGCCTAGTAGGGAAGCTGAATATTCAGTGGAGTTTTTTTCATATGTTTAAAGTTATTTCCAGACGATTAGACATACAGACTCCAGCTAAGAACAAATGTAAGTAATTTTTGGATTATCTGTTTAGGATTATTTGTACTGCCTTCCCATACATTAATGTAAGCAACTGGGAATATACTGCTGTTCACTCTCTCTCATATAAATCCTTAGCCAAATAAGGGCGTCTGGGGAGCAAGCAACACTAACTTAGCCTGATAGGCAAACTCCATGGAAGAAATGCTGTTGCCTCCTCTAAGACAAAGTTGAAAGAATAGCTCTTAATATTGCACATGACAAAAATCTCAAAGATTTCTCTTTCATCATCATCATTATTGTCATCAGCAGCAGCAGCACCTTTTACCGAATGTCTTCTCTGTGCCAGATGCAATACTAGATACTTACAAACGTTAGAGCTTGTAATTTCATCCTTGCAACAACCCTGAGAGGTATGTGTCATGTTTCTCATTTTTCAAACGAACAAACTGCTGCTCAGATGTTGACATGACTCAGACATGAGTTTTTAAGAGGCAGAGCTGGACTTCAACCCAGACTTGACTTCAGGCCTCGGTTCATTCCATGACTCGATGCGGCTGCTTCGCTGTTTATTAGCTGCACGGGCAGACTGGATGGATTTACAGAGCTACAGGCCTCAAGGTCAGATCACCTCTGGCTTCTGGTCTCAGTTCTGTCACTTATCACCTCTGTGATCTTGGAAGAGTCTGTTAATCACTCTAAGTCTGTTGTCTCATCTGGAAAGTGTTGTTAAATTGGGCTGTCAATCCTCGCAGGATCATTGGGAGGAGCAAATAGCACAGTATATACTGAGTGCTAGAAAAATCTAAGGTCTGACAACCATTCACTCTTGAGCAGCATTGCTTGCAAGGCTTATTCTTTAAAATATGTTTGCCTTAATGATTTTCTATTATTTCAAGACATAGACATTCATCAAGTAGCACAAGCAATGATATGCAAAAAAAACCTTTATTTAATTAGAGCCCAAATAAATAGAAACTCTTGTTTCAGGTTGCTTTCTTGAACTCCACTTTTGAGAGCAAGAAATAATTAAGAAAGCAAGACATAAGTAAGAAAAGAAGCATAGGGGTAAGCATAGATTTGCTAAAAACCCAAACAGCTTCTAGACTATTTTCAGGGTCACAATCAGGTTTAGGCAGGAAGCTTCCCTAGAGACTAGAGATGTCCAGTTACTTGGCCAAGGTCACTCACCCACCTGGGCCCAGGTTCCAGTGCTCTACCCTGTGGCTGGTCTTTCTACCTCATTCCCCAGAGCTCCTCATCTCCTTGGCCTGACCTGGAGCACACACTCATGTTCAGCATGAGACTCTTCAGATCCCCTCCATCCACAAATGGAAGGCACCCTTTTTTGTTCCTGTAGACTGAGCCGACTCACAGTGAATTGCTTCACACTTAAGAGTTTCAACCACAAAGTCTAGAAATAGAAATCTCCGTTTATCAAAATGTCCCATTCCACATTCATTCTCATTAGTGGAGCTTTCATTGTTGTTATTTGCCTTCTGTAGGAATGGAAAATAAGTTCCCATTGTGATTTGAACTATCTGGGACATGCAGTGAACTTGGACAATGTGTCATTCCCCAGATCTACTGCCAGGCTCTACATGTTGTTCCAATTCACTGGAAAACTGCCAGCCTTGCTCCTACGTTTTGTAAATCTACCATGGAGGAAGGCATTGGGTATTGACATAGAGGAGAGAAAGCACACAGAGATGATTTTTGTTGTTATTGTGTAAAGCTAACACAGGAAAATATGTTTGTCAAGGAGGATGGAGCCTGGTTATTCCTTACATTCAGGTAGAGGTGACGGGACCTGAAAGTCAAACAAAGAAAGAGGAAAATGTTGATATCATTTTTTTGTCATCCTTCTTTTCTTATGGTTGTTTTCTCTTATTGCATCCTTCTTAACACTGGTTTCTTGTGGACACCCTGGATAACATTAGAGCAGAACATTCTAACACTTTGCTTTGAAGCAAGAATTGGAATTAACTGCCCTTTAAAATACAGCAGCAAATTAATCCAGCCCAAATCCCAATGAGGGCAGTCAATAACATTCTTCTTTTGCAGAGGCAGGGCATTTCACACAGAGACACAAGAGAGGGTGGATTACTCAGTCAAGGCCACACAGCAAGTTCCTGAGCAGCTTGACTGTAATTACACATAGAGAAAGAGCTTAATTATTTGAGCCCTAAGATTATGGAAGTGCCATGATACATGAGGCTTCCAACAGTTCCTTTGCCATCCAAGTGGTTTCCAGATCAACTCTCATGAGATCAACAGCTTAAACCCAGGAGTCAGGCAGGAGTAGGAGGCAAGATTTACAAGTCACCACTGTGGACTTGTGTGGGGCTGCAGGACCTAAAACTATGGCTTCGTCTACTGTACAGGGTCCCCAGAGCAAACCCAGTCTAGGAAGGTGTATTCATCCATTCTCACATTGCTATAGAGAGATACCTGAGACGGGGTAATTTATAAAGAAAAGTGGTTTAATTGGCTCATGGTTCTGCAGGCTGTATGGGAAACATAGTGGCTTCTGCTTCCAAGGAGACCTCAGGAAGCTTCCAGTCATGGCAGAAGGCAAAAAGGGAGTGGGACACCTCACAAGGTGGGAGCAGGAGCAAGAGACGGACGAGGGAGGTGCTGTACACTTTTAAACAATCAGATCTCGTGAGAGCTCACTCACTATCTCAAGAACAGCACCGAGGGGATGGCGCTAAACTGTTCATGAGAAACCTCCCCCCATGATCTAATCACCTCCCACTAGGCCCTGCCTCCAACACTGGGGGTTACAATTGAACACGAGATTTGGGTGGGGACACAGATCCAAACCATATCAGAAGGCAAGCACTAGGAGCTCTTCATGGTTTCTGGAATCAGAGAGCGTTCTTGGAGCAGAATGACTATGTTAACCATAACAGAAATGAATGTGAGTCAGAAGCTTACAGACAATTTTAACAACAAAAAAAGTTTTTAACCTGATTCTTATGGGACAGGAGAAAAAAAAAAGGCCAAATGATAGATTTTTCATTTTGGGCAAAAAAAAGAATTGGAAGTAAGCTCAGAAGTTTACCACTTTGGGCAAGAGGCCAATATTTGAAGTGCAGAGAGGAGGTATAATATGAACTTTAAAATGGATTATAAAGAGCCAAATAGAATAAAATTGGGGTCTGAGAGCTGGTACCATGTTACTCGATTTCCGATGATGAATCCTCTCACCAGCTCAAGGGCACCAACTTGATGGATTTAATGTAATGTCTAAAATGACTAAGCTTTGATATTGTAAGTAGCCTGACCATATCATGAGATTCTGAGTAACTTGATTTGTCTGGCATTGTTCTGAAGTGGATCCACTTTATCAAAGCCACAGATATATGGCAAAGTTGAAAAGATAATGTGAAAGTTCCTTTAGCACACAGACGTCCCAGGCCCTGGTTTCAATCACACCAGTAGGACGGAATTTTAGGCAGTTGATCATAAAAGTTTGTCCAAACTTAGGAAATGTACAATTAACTAGAAAGAAGGATCCACTATGATTGACTATAAAATGTGCCACCTGAAAGAAAAAAAAATGAATTGAGCATAGGAAGCCTGTCAGGCATCATATTTATAAATGGTGCTAATCCTATTCACAAACTTAGAGTGCAGGGCAGTAGATTTCTACCTTATGGTGAATTCACTCTGTTGATGGGCACACCGGAAATCTACTATGATTTCATACTCTGTTTATAAACCGGAAAATGTCTGTCCATTTAAAAATCCCAGTGCTGTGTTTGCAAATAATTTCTCTTACATTGTTCCACTTGTAGTCTCCAGGTAATATTATGAAGTGAAACTTATAATAATATGAGTCCGTATTCATTGAGAATCAAATGTGCTAGCTACTATATGCCTGGCACTGTACTGAGTGATATCACATTAAATCCTTACAAGAGTCCAGATTTATCTGAATTTCACAGACGAGATACTGAGGTGCAAAGGTGACATAACCTGGCTGAAGTCGCACAGCTGATAGATACGTTAGAGTACCAAGATTTGAACCCAGGAGATCAAACCCCTGAGCCCAGCTGCCTCCTGATGTCCTTTATTGACTTACCCCATAAAGATATTTTCCCAAGTAAGAAATATTCACCATCTTGATGTGAATTTGACAGTGTTATCCACCCTATACATTTTTTACCTTACCTGAAATTGAGCAGAAAATGTAGCTTAATTGCATTATAGGGTTTGGTAGAAAGTAGAAATTGTGAGCAACAAACTTGAGAATCTAGCTGAAGAGATTTCCAAGAAAAATGTAGAAAGTATGGCCGTTTTCACCTTGTTGCTCATAGCAAAATGAAAGCAGAAGCAGAAAAAATATGGAAGAACTATGAAACAAAGAAGGACCAGTAGTTGATCTGAAAAATTTTCAGCCTATTCAGATAATATGCTCCAGACAATGTGGCCAAGGGTGTGGCTGGACAAACCTTTTCCAGTTCAAGAAAATTTCAATTTCACAATTTATTTTCCAGTCCCCAAAAATACAACTGCAGGATATCTGCTTCTGACCCAGATGGAGTATCATGGACTAAATTTATTCTCCTGTCTGATGAAAAACCAAAAACATGGGCAAAATATATTAAATACATTTTTAACATATATTAATAAATCATACTTTTGGAAAAAAAATAGTTTGCAAGGCACTGGAAGACAGACAATGAAGGGCAGTGATCTTTCAGTGATGGGAAACAAATGGGATGAACTCTAAGCTCCCCAAGCTTACTGCTTTGAGAGAGTTTCCAGGCCATGGCTTGAGGTATTTGGAAGGGGAAGAAGGAGGCTGGTAGACTCTCTTAGTTGAGGAAACAAAGCTGAGAGTCCAAGAAGACTAAGGTGGCTAGAATTCACAGGAGAGTACTAGAGAGCTGAGAGCTATGTAGTGTGAAAACTTCAGAGATCTGTAGAAAGTCCCCCTTTAGTACTTAGCTTAGTACTGATTGATGTATACATGTAAAGAAACTACTGGAAGCTGGGGAGATAACCACTTGAAAGGATTAAAGGTCATAGTGACTGGTAGTCACACAGGGCTGAAAAGAGTGCCCATTCCCATCAGCCAGACAGGAACACCTCAAGATCCACAGGGCGGTGGGTACAGCACATAGAAGGGTCTTGCCTCCACAATGGAGGTTATAAGCCATTAATTGAGCAAGATCCAATTATATGCTGCTTGCAAGAAATGCACTGTCAATATAAAAATATAAACAGGTTAAAAAGGAAAGGATAAAAAAAGATACACCATGTGTACTGGGTTGAATAGTGTCTGTGAAGAATTCAAGTCTACCCAGAATCTCGAATATGACCTTATTTGGAAATAGGGTCTTTGGAGATATAAATAGTTAAGATGGGGTCACACTAGATTAGGGTGGGCCCTAAATCCAATATGGCCAGTATTCTTATAAGAAGAAAAGAGGAGACACAGAGGCACAGACAACACACAGAAAAGGACAGGTGACAACAGAGGCGGAGACTCTAGAGATGCAGCTGCCGTCCAAGGAATGCCATGGGTTCTCAGCAAACATCAGAAGGTAGGAAGAGACAAGATGTTACTCCCTGGAATCTTCAGACCAGAGGATGACCCTGCCAGCACTTCGGTCTCAAACTTCTAGCTTCTAGAATTGTGCAGAATAAATTTCTGTTGTTTGAAGGCACCTTGTTTCTGGTACAGATGCCCATTGACTTAGGACAGGGTTTCATCCTGATAAACCCATTCTGAAGTTGAACAATTGTAAGTTGAACCACTGTAAGACTGGGACCATCTGTAATTAGTAATGATGGTCTTAGGAAACTAACGTTGATTTTGGTACTGGGAAATGGGGTGCTATTGTGCAAATACCTAATAATGTGGAAGTGGCTGTGGAATTGGGTAATGGGTAAAGGCTGGAAGAATTTTGAGGCACCATGACAGAAAAAAGCCTAGAATTCCTTGAAGAGATTATTGGTAGAAATACAGGCACTAAAGATGTTTCTGGTGAAGGCTCAGTGAGAAGTGAAGACCATGGCAGAGAAAGCATCTATCATTTTAGAGAATACCTATATCATCATGAATAGATTGTTGGTAGAAATTAGAATATTTCAGGTGCTTCTGGTGAGGTCTCAAAAGAAATATGTTATCAGGCATGAGAGGAAAGGGGATGCTTTTTAGAAAGAGGTAGAAAATGTAGCTGAATTGCCTTGTAGGGTCCGGTGGAAAGTAGAAATTGTAGCAACAAACTTGGGAATTTAGCTGAAGAGATTTCCAAGAAAAATGTAGAAAATGTGGGCTGTTTTCTCCTTATTGCTTATGGCAAAATGAGAGAGGAAAGAAAAAAAAATTGAGGGAGTAACTATTAAACAAAGAAGGATGAGTACTTGATTTGGAAAATTCTCAACCTATCCAGATAATATGCTCCAGACAATGTGGCCAAGGGTGTGGCTGGACAAACCTTTGCTGAAGAGATGAGGCCTGTGACTCATGGACCCAAGCAACCATCTCAGCAGAGGCCAGCAATAGAGATGGGTCATCCAGGAAGGATCCATTCAGAATCCTCTCGTGTAATAGTATGGATCTCACGGCAGGCACAGGAGAGCAACAAGCTTTCTGAGAGCATTATATCAGCAGAAACACTGACCGCTTGTACTGAAGGGAACAGAGACAGAATGAAATGAAAGAAGGCAGTTGAACTTCTAGGCTTCTACAGGCAGAAAACAGGCTGATAGAACTGCTCAACTACAGACATGTTCTACCTTTCTAGAAAAAGAAAAGAAAGACCTCCAGAGGCAGAGGCCAGAAAAGTGGACATAGATGAGAGGCCAATGTGGTCTCTGTAGGCCCAGAAACAGTGACTGGTTCAGTCTTCGTGGGCTCAGAGGGTGGATCAAGCCACAGAGAATATTATCTGGCCCTAAAGACTAATGGAACCTTCTCTGTTGGGTTTCAAACCTACTTTAGGCCAGTAACTCCTTTATTTCTTCAATTTCCTCCCTTTTGGAATGGGAAAGTCTACTGTATGCCTGACCCACCATTGTATTTTGGAAGCAGATAACTTGTTTTCTAGTATCACAGGTCCACAGACGGACAAGAATTTTCCCAGATTGGATCATACCCAGTGTCTCACCAAACCTAATTTATGTGAATTATATGATGCTATTTGGAACCTTTCGAGCTGATGCTCTTCAGAGGGAGCATGCATAGGCCAATACCTTGATTTTGGACTTCTGGCCTCCAGAAATTTGAGAGAATCAATTTCTATTGCTTGTGCCACCTATTTTCTGAAGATTTCTTATATCAGCCCTAAGTAACTAATACCCAAATCAAAAGTAAGCTGGAGTGGCTCTATTAGTAGTAGACGAAGTCAGTTTCAGAGCAAAGGCTATTGCCAGGGATAGAGAGGGTCATCTGATAATCATAAAATGGTCAGTTTATCAGCTAATCAAGAAGATGTCGTAATTCTAAACTGTTGAAAATAATAACATATTTTCAAAATACATGAAACAAACACTGATAGGAGAAACAGACAAATCCACAATAGTCAGAGTTTTCAACATTCCTCATCAATAATTGATAGAATAAGTAGACAGGAAATCAGGAAGGATATAAAAGATTTGAACAACCCTTGAAACAACCTGACCTAATTGACATTTATAAAGCATCATACCCAACAACAGAATTCATTGTTTTTAAGTGCACATAGAACATTTAGCAAAATAGTTCATACCCTGGGCCGTAAAATAAGTCTCAATGAATTTAAAAATATTCAAGTGATATAAAATATGTAAATGATAAAAATATTGAATTATAAATCAGTAGGAAATCTCCAAATATTTGAAGCTGAAATAAAACATTTCTGCATAATGAATGGGTCAAATACATCAAATGGTCATTAGAAAGTATTTTAACTGAATAGGTAAAGAAATACAGCACATCCAAAGAATGCCCCTAAAGCAGTATTGTGGGGGATCTTTTAGCTCTAAACCTCTATGGTTAGAAACAAAGAAAAGTCTCAAATCAATTACTTCAGCTTCCACATTAAGAAACTACAAAAAGAAGAGCTAATTAAACACAAAATAAGTGAAAGAAAGGATATAGTGAAAGTCAAAGTGGAACAGAAAACAGAAAACCAACAAAGAAAATTGATGAAACTAAATGCTGATTCTTTGAGAATATTGATAAAATTGCCAAACAGATTTATGGGGTGGGTGGGGAAAAACAGCACAGTTTATGAATATAGAAAATGAAAGAGGTGATATCATTAGAGATTGTACAGGGATTAAAACGATAATCATGGGTATTATGACAACTTTATGCCAATAGATTTGACAACCTAGATCAGGGGTGAACAAGCTTCGTCTGCAGAGAACTAGATAGTAAGTATTTTTGGCTTTGAGGGCCACAAATTGTCTATGTCATGGTTTTTTTCCCCCAACCTTTAAAAATGTAAAAACATTCTTAGCTTGCAGACTGTACTAGTCCGTTCTCGCACTGCTATAAAGAAATACCTGAGACTGGGTAATTTATAAAGAAAAGAGGTTTAATTGGCTCATGGTTCTGCAGGCTGTACAGGAAGCATAGCTTGGGAGGCCCCAGGAAACTTACAATCATGGCGGAAAGTGACGGGGAAGCTAGAGCAGGAGGAAGGGGTGGTGGGGAGGTGCTACGCACTTTTAAAGAACCAAATCTCACAATAACTCACTCACTATCATGAGAACAGCACTAAAGGGAAATCTGCCCCCATGATCCAGTCACCTCCCATCAGGCTCTACCTCCAGCATTGGGGATTACAATTTGACATGAGATTTGGGTGGGGACGCAGACCCAAAGCATGTCATGGACTAAGAGCCAACCCCTGTTTTAAATGAAATGGATGAATTCCTTGTAAGACACAAGTTTTCAAAACTCACTAAACAAGAAATAGATAACCTGACTTTCCATTTCTAATAAGAAACTGAATTTTAAATTTTCTCACAAAGGAAACTACAAACCAGAGCATTTCACTGATAAATTCTACCAAATATTTAAAAAAAGAAATGATACCAATTCTACACAAACTCTTTCAGAAAACTAAAAAGAGGGAATGCTTTCCAATTCATTCTATGAGACAAGCATCACCCTGTTAGCACAAGCAAGGGTGCTACAAGAAAAGAAAACTAAAGATCAGTATCCCTGGTGAACATAGATGTAAAATTCTAAACAAAATTTTAGCAAATTGAATCCAACAATTTATAGAAAGTGACATTCCTCATAGCCATGTGGGGTCTGGTTGGTATAACATTCAAAAATCAATTTATATAATTTATCACATTAATAAGCTAAAGGAGAAAAACCACATAATCATCTCAATAGATGGAGAAAAGGATTTGACAAAACTCTACATTCATTCTTGATAAAGAATCTCAGCAAACTAGGAATAGAAGGGAAAGTTCTCAACCTGAAACTTCCTTAATCTAGTAGCAGAAAATTCCCTCCTGCTATAGCATTTAATAAGGAAAGACTGAGTCTTTTTTCTTCAAGGTCAGGAACTAGACAGTGAGTCTGCCCTCTCCACTCGCATTCAACATTCTATTGCAGGTTGTAGCCAGCGCGGTCAGAAAGAATGCAATACAAAAGTACAACATAAAAGACACTTATATTGAAAAGAAAGAAATTAAACTGTCTTTCTGCAGACAGCATGATTGTCGATGTAGAAAATTGAATAAAATCTTAATAAAAAAGCTACTAGAACTAATAAGTAAGTTTCACAAGTTGGCAAGGTACAAGATATATAAATGGAAGTAAATAGTATTTCTGTACACTGTACCTGTTACTCCTTCAAAAGTATTAAGCCTTGGGGGATAAATCTGACAAAAGAGGTGAAAATCTGTACACTGAAAACACAAAACATTGTGGAGAGAAATTAGAGAAGAGCTAAATAAATGGACACACTGAATTTATGGGTCAGAAGACTCAATAGTGTTAACAAATGAATTCTCCCCAAAAGGGATCTGTATATTTAATGCAATACCAGTCAACATCCCAAGAGGATTTTTCGGTAGAATTTTTTGGTAAAATTCATGTGGACACAGGACCTAAAATAATCAAATAACGTTGACAGAGAAAAACAAAGTTGGGAGGCTAACAGTGTATGATTTCACGATGTGTTATCAAGTTGCAGTAATCAGGACAGTGTGGTCTTGACACAGAGATAGGTTAATCAAGGCAACAGAATAGAAAACCTACATATATAAAGCAAAGAGACCTTACATATCTGGAAAACTGATTTCCCACAAAGGTGCAAAATCAATGAAGTGAGAAAAGAATGAATTTTTCAACATGTGATATTGAACCAATTAGACATCCACATACAAATAAACTTTAATCCTTACATCATTTTAATATTAACTCACTATGGTCACAGACCTAACATAAGGCTTCACATTATAAAACATTTAGAAGAAAACATTGGAGAAAAATGTCTGTGACTGAGTAGGCAAAGAGTTCCTAAATACAGCTCTAAAAGCGTGATCCAAAAGCTAGTACATTGGACTTCACTAAAGTTTTTTTAAAACTCATTTTATTTGAGAGACATCAATAAGAGAATGAAAAAAGAAGTCACAGACTAGGAGAAAATATTATTACATTATATATCCGATGAAGAAATTGTGTCCAGAACATATTAGGTTTGTGCAAAAATAATTGTGGTTTTTGCCTTTACTTTCAATGTATAAAGAATACTTTCAACTATAAAGAATCCCCAACAATTCAACAATAAGAAAAGAAGCAACCCATTTTTTGTAATTGGGCAAAAGATTTGAATAAGCATTTCACCAAAGAAGACACGCAAATGTCAAATAAGCACACAGAAAGATTCTCAACATCATTAGTTATTAGTAAAATGCAGATTAAATGTACAGTGAGCTACCACTATCCATATTTTTGAATGGCTAAAATTAAAAATACCAAGTCACGGTGAGAGGGGAAGTACTAGAATTCTCATATACTCTCAGACACTGCTGGTAGGAATGTAAAATAGCACTATCTCACCTTTGCTTTAGAAAACAGTTTGGCCGTTTCTTAAAAAGTTAAATACACATCTACCATTTGATACAGCTGTTCCACTCCTAGATGTTTACTCAAGAGCAAGGAAATCATACAGTTTTGATAGAAAGATGTGTACATGAATGTTCATAGCAACTCTATTTGTAAGAGCCAAAAAAATGGAAACAACCCACATGTTCCTCAAGAAAAATATCGACACATAGGCCCCATGGTCTACTCATACAATTGAATGCTACTCAGCAATGAAAGGTAATGAGATGTTTATACAGGCAACACCATGCGTGAATCCTGAAATAATTGTGCTGAGTAAAAGACGCCAGGCCAAAAACATGGATACATACCATAGGATTCTATTTATGTACAATTCCAGGAAATGGAAACTTACGTAGAGTGAAGGAAGGCAAATCAGTGGTTACTTGGGGACAGGGAAGGGATAGGAGAAAAGGATTACAAAGGTGCAGAAGGAAACCTTTGGAGTTGTTAGGTTGATTTATTATTTTGGTTATGGCAGTAGTTTCACAGCTGTAAATTTATGAAATCCTGTACTTTAAGTGGGTGTAGTTGATCATCTGTCAGTTACACCTTAGTAAAGCTCAGGAAAGGAGGGAGGGAGGAGAGGGGAGGAGAGGAAGTGAGGAAGGAAGGAGAGGAAGGAAAGATGGAGAGGAGAGAGACAAAGAAAGGGAGGGAGGAGAGGAAGCGAATATAGGCAGGAGAGAGAGGGAAGAAGGGAGGGAGGGAGAAGAGGGAGGGAGGGAAAAGCGGGAGGAAGGAAGGGAGGGAGGGAGGGAAGATAAGGAGAAGAAGGGAGGAAGAAAGGAGAGGAAAGACAGGAAGAAAGAAAGGAGAGAGCTTGAAAGAAGGGAAATTTCAGCTATCAGAGAACTCGTCTAGGAGCTCAGGTTAGTGAGAGGAAAGTGAGATTTCTTTGGAGCTCCTCAGTACCATTTCCTAATCTCACTAAGACTGGCCCTGACTGTGTATATCAGCTAAGTGACCTGTTCCACTGGAATGCTGGCTCACATTATTCCATTTGCATTTATTTTGTATAATGTCCCTGCAATATTTGTGGGACATGAGGGTTCTACCAGTCCACAATTCCAGAAAAATCTGACCTATCTGCTCCCAGGATGTCAGATGAAAACGAAGATGGCTATACATACAACTCAGGCCACATTTGTCTTCTAGGACTGAGTTTTTGTTAGTACACATACCTCCTTTCTACTTACCCCTTACTGTAGAGAATTCTATTAATGATGGAACTTTCCAATAAGCAAACCCAATTGATGAAAATACAAATGTATGAAACAGATAAAGAAGAAATTGATCACGTTTCTTATAAAAAGAGTCCGAAAGGGCCACTTTAAGTAAGAAAGCTTCTATAGGGAGTCTAAAGATGAGTCAATGTGTAAAAATTGACTCCGTACATATTTCAGGAATCCAACTACATACTATTAGGCCAACCTGACCAAGTGAAATGAGTTTTATAAACTGCCCTTGTTTTCAGAAGGGCCTCCATGGTGATGAGTATCCACCCTGTACTAAACCCCCCATTTCCTCCTGGTGGTGAGTGAAGGGCGTCAGGGATACTGGAGTACAGCTGTGCTTGGGGATGATGCAGAGCCACCTGCACAGGGGCCTTGGGCTCTTCTATAGTGCCCCTACAGGACAGGAGGCCCACAAGCAGTCATTGGGGAGGCCAGCTGATCCCCAGGTCATGCATGCCTGCATAGCATAAACGACTCACTGATGTGGCTGGACCTGGCCAGGCTGTGGGTGTGATGAGTTAAGGGCATCCCTGGTGCTGGGGATAGGAGGCACCCAGCACTCTGTGCCAGCCACCTGCCATCTTCTCTCTACAGAGTCCACTGTGGATCACGCTGCTGTGTTCCCTTCCAGGACCGTTGCCATCCATGTCCAGACTCAAATGTACCCATGGAATATTTTATTCATCTGTGTCTTTTATTTTTAAACACAAACATCCTTAAACTGAACCATATTATTCTGTATCTTATTATTTTTATCACGCAATATGCCTTGTAATTCTATCCATTTTTAATTTTTTTTTTTGTTTAGAGACAGGGTCTCCTTCTGTCACCCAGGCTAGAGTGCAGTGGTGTGATCATAGCTCCCTGAAGCCTGGATCTGCTGGGCTCAAGCGATCCTCCCACGTCTACCTCCCAAGTAGCTGGGACTACCGGCATGTGTCACCATGCCTGATAATATTTTTATTTTTATTTTTTGTAAAGACAGAGTCTCAATATGTTGCCCGGGCTGGTCATGAACTCCTGGCCTCAAGCCATCCTCCCACCTCAGCCTCCCAAAGTGTGGGATTATAGGCATAAGCCACTGTGTCCAACCCTCTCTATATTAAAATATAGAAGTCTACCTCATTCTTTCTAACCACTCCCTAGATTGCACACAACATCCATAGCACAGTTTACATAGCCATGGCCTTATTCCTGGGCATGCAGGTTGTTTCTGTTGCAGACGTCGCTGTGATTAATGCCCATGCGCCTGCCTCTGGTACACTTGGGGAGGGTTTAAACTGAGCTTTAACCCCATACTCCTGAGAAATACAGTTTTACCCCATACCCTTGATAAATACCATTTTACCCCACAACTGCTTTCAAAACTTCTAATGTGCATATATACACCTTTGTCATAGAAAGTATCAATTCCTGAGAAGCAGTTGGAAAAACACTTCAAGATCTATAAGTAAAATTGAGGAGTGGGACTTTTTTCTTAGATCCCTGTTTCTCTCATTTCGTCCTTTAGATAAGGATCCACCCAGATTATCATCCTGTTTGGATGTCTCTTGATCATGATTAGCTGTGTTTTGTTTCGTTTGCTTGTTTCAACTGTTCACATTAGAGTTGGACAGGCCTGGGTTCAAACTGATTTGACTTCTCTGAGCCTCAAGTTTCCACATCTGAAGAATGGACATGATAATGAATAACTAACAGTGTTGTCGACCTGTGGAATATGTGTGAAGTGCTAAGCAAAATGATTAAAACATACTACGTAATAATTGGTGGCTGTTATGGAATAAATGGTAAAGTTTACAAAATAAAGTACATCCAGTAATTTCAGTATTTTGAATATTGAGAGTATTTTTAGTAACAGCAATTTTTCAGTATATTCGTATCTTTGTCACTCATTGTCTTTCCTAGGAATGAAATACTATTTATTCACCACCACACAATTACACATACCCATTTTAAACTTAGGTTAAATTGCCATTAGAGTTTGGTCTAAGTTTGATAAATTACTAGATAATCTAAAATTTGAGGCTGGGCATGGTGGCTCACGCCCGTTAATCCCAGCACTTAGGGAGGCCAAGGTAGGAGGTTCACTTGAGGCCAGGAGTTCGAGACCAGCCTTCCCAACATGGCAAACCCCCATCTCTACTTAAAAAAAAAAAAAGGGCTGGGCGTGGTGGCTCACGCCTGTAATCCCAGCACTTTGGGAGGCTGAGGCAGGCAGATCACGAGGTCAGAGATCGAGACCATCCTGGCTAACACGGTGGAACCCTGTCTCTACTAAAAATACAAAAAAATTAGCCAGGTGTGGTGGCGGGCAACTGTAGTCCCAGCTACTTGGGAGGCTGAGGCAAGAGAATGGCGTGAACCCAGGAGGCGGAGCTTGCAGTGAGCCAAGGTCATGCCACTGCACTCCAGCCTGGGTGACAGAGCAAGGCTCCATCTCAAAAAAGAAAAAAAAAAAAAGAAAAAGAAAAAAGAAAAAAATACTTAGCCGGGCATGGTGGCATGCACCTGTAGTCCCAGCTATCAGGGCACCTGAGGCAGGAGAATTGCTTCAACCCAAGAGGCAAAAGTTGCAGTGAGCTCAGACGGTGCCACTGCTCTCCAGCCTGGGCGATAGAGCCAGATTCTGTCTCAATAAAAATAAAAATAAAAATAAAAAAATAAAAGTTGTAAAAGATCTTAAAAGATGATCTGTCCCAACTCCTCATTCCCAACATGCATAGGCTGTCTAACTATTTATTTCCCAGGTCTGCTAATTCAACAGGATACGTGGTGAAAATATTCTTAATTTCCAGAGTTGTACTACCTAATTTTCTTCTATCTTCAAAGTCATTCAGGTGATAAAATTTTTAATTATCCCCAACATAAATGGGAAAGACCTGAAAAAAAGCCATCTTTGCTGATGCGGTGTGTTCATTTTACCCAGCACTTTGCGCCAGCCACTCACTGTCCTAAGTGTTGGTGATGGAGATGTTACAAAAGCACCCAAGCTGCTGCCCTCATGGAATCTACAGTCTAGCACAGGAGACAAGCAGGAATGAACTAGCATTGAGACAGAATCTAGATTATGAGAAGGTAGCATTTCACTAGTCCTAATTAAGCTGATATTGACCATGTGCTCTATAAATTACTAAACTAAGAGACAGACCTGTCACAATCCAGGGGGTTCTTAGTTTTGATGCTATAAAAATATACAGTAAATAAACAAAGAGGAGAGTGTTCTGTAATAGGCAAAGTAGAGAACATACCAGAACATACCTTTCTTTTTCTTTTTCTTTTCTTTTTTTTTTTTTTTTTTTTGAAACGGAGTCTCACTCTGTCGCCAGGCTGTAGTGCGGGGGCGCAATCTCGGCTCACTGCAACCTCCACCTCCCAGGTTCAAGCAATTCTCCTGCATCAGCCTCCTGAGTAGCTGGAATTACAGGCACAAGCCGCCACACCCAGCTAATTTTCGTATTTTTAGTAGAGACGGGGTTTCACCATGTTGGCCAGGATGGTCTCAATCTCTTGACCTCGTGATCCACCCCCCTCAGCCTCCCAAAGTGCTGGGATTACAGGCATGAGCCACGAGAACGTACCTTTCTAACATAAGAAATCTTTTCCCAAAATCTGGATCAAGAAAACATACTCTACAAATATAGCATTTCCTTTTTGTTCAAAGACACACACACGCAAACGCACACACACACACATGCATGCACACACATAACTAGAAGGGAAAAAATTCGTACAGCTTGCAACAGGCCCTAGAGATTTAAATACCGAAACCTTTAATTTGTACCAATAATTCATATACAGCTATATGGGGTGAAAAAGGTTAATGATGGAATTTTTTAAAGTATGTTTCATTGACTATAAATGGCAGATTTGACAGTTAAAATGAAAATTGTTCCAGAAGAAACTTTAGTCAAACTAATTATTTGAGACGTTATAAGGATGTATAATTATATTCTTCACCTTTTAAAAAAAGTTTTATTACAAATGTGCTTTTAAAGAACAAGTAGAGAAATAAAAGCTGTAATTGTTCTTAATTATAGCTAACTGTAATTGCACTCAATTGCAATATGCTGAATATCACCAATGGCTAAAGAAATCCTGGCATGCAGACAGTGCACCCACACTCATGAGATGAGGTATCATTTTATGAATATTCTGTTATCTATAATTTAGCTCTTTTACTGTTGATTCCATTTCTGTTGGTTTTATTTTATTTTATTTTATTTTATTTTTTTAGTGATTATAGAGATGTAATTGTCATCTGTGAATGTATTGAAGGTTGTAAATTTCATCTGGGGTTGGTTCAAAATTCCCGTTGCTACAGAAAAAAGACGTATTGGAGATTGTTAAAATGAGAGATTTGGACATGACCCACCATGATTGAATACATTGAATACACAGATTTGCATTTTCAGAGGTAATGATGGATACCACATTTAATCTGCCCAGCATGGTCCAAGAAGCAACCTGGAAAATTTGAAGGATCTAAAATAGCATGAGCTACCCTTCTGCAGAAAGCTCTCGGAGTAGTGTTATTTCAAATGGGTAAAATGCCTCATGAATGGAAAGATGTTCATCTCTCTCTCTCTCCTTTATGCTCAGGACTCAAATCAAGTTCTGTTTCTGCCCATACTGATGCCGCCCGGCCTGCCCGTACAGTCAGAGGGGAGATGTTCAGCTCTGAGCTGCTTCCTGACCCTCGGGGAGCCTCACTTTACTCCTTTGCGGAATGAGGGCTGATAGCACTACCCTGCTCCTTGTCAAAGAATGTATGAGGGGATTTTTTTTTTTTTTTTTTTTTTTGAAACAGAGTCTTGCTCTGTCGCCGAGGCTGGAGTGCAGTGGCACAATCTTGGCTCACTGCAAGCTCCACCTCCCAGGTTCACGCCATTCTCCTGCCTCAGTCTCCCAAGTAGCTGGGACTACAGGCGCCTGCCACCACGCCCGGCTAATTTTTTTGTATTTTTAGTAGAGACGGGGTTTCACTGTGTTATCCAGGATGGTCTCGATCTCCTGAACTCGTGATCTGCCCGCCTCGGCCTCCCAAAGTGCTAGGATTACAGGCATGAGCCACCGCGCCCGACCTGAAGGGATATTTTTAAACATAAATAAATACACTGTTGGAGAAAGGAAATAGGTTCTTTATCTTCAGGAGAAAGAAGCATTTTATTATGTGTTTATAGCCATTGTTCAGAAAATTAAAAAATAAAAACCAACATTAACAACAACAACAAAAAGATTCTTTCAAATCATATCAGAACAACCTTTATTTCTTTGCTATTTCCATAAGTGGCTGCTCAGAGCTTCCAACCTTGTAGCCAGAGACAGCTTTAACACAATTGCTGGTACTTTTGTTTGTTTGTTTTGTTTTGAGATGTAGTCTTGCCCTGTCACCCAGGCTAGAGTGCAGTGGCGCCATCTCGGCTCACTTCACCTTCCACCTCCCAGATTCAGCCGATTCTCCTGCCTCAGCTCCCGAGTAGCTGGAACTACAGGCATGTGCCACCATGCCAGGCTAATTTTTTAGTATTTTTAGTAGAGACAGGGTTTTGCCATGTTGGTCAGGCTGGTCTCGAACTCCTGACCTCAAGTGATCCCACCTGCCTCAGCCTCCCAAAGTGCTAGAATTACAGGCGTGAGCCACCATGCCTGGCCGCTGGTGCATTTTTTAAAGAGAAAAATAATGCATTTAACTGAGGGGAGCCCCATGTTCTGACTGTAGGTTGGAGGTAGGCCCAGGGAGAGGGAGGTCCTCTGAGGGGCTGTCCTTTTGACTGAGGTCACCGCAGCCACACTGCTGCCTAAAAGGGAGCAAATCTGTTCCTCACTTCAGGGTATCTGGGGGAGGCAAGAGAGGCTGTGTCCTTAGAAATGGTTTGTGTCCCTCAGAACCTTCATAGTACCTGGTAGGAGGAAATAATGTGGCCCCTACTTCATCACAGACAGCGGAAGTCCAGGGGCTAGGGTATCTTATCTCTTCATCTTTTCCATCAAACCACTTCATTCTGGATGGAGTCTTTCTGTGGCCGTCACAAAACTGCTTGTTCTTCTCCATGGTTTCTCTCTCCACCAGAACCTCCCGTGTTCCTTCTGCCCTGGTAGCTCTCACACAGACTCCTCTTTGAAGACCGTGGCTTTTGTGTTTTCATTTCTCAGAAAGAGAAGGAGCATCTCTAAGACAAAAATCTTCTTCCTCTTGTCCATGTTATCTGCTTTCTCAGTCACAAATATTGGCATTGGCTGTTAGGCGAATGAAGTCCCTTGATATCTGTTTCAGCAAAAACTCCCTTCCTGCCCTCCCCAAAAGGGAATCAGTGAAATGAGGTGGATAAAATCTCTTCCCATTACTTGTCATTATGTATTCATTTGTGTAAGTATTTGTGGCTGTGTCTTCTCCAGTAGACAGACAGCCTCATGAAAGAGGGGGCTCATGTTTATAAAGTTTCCTGTCTAATAATATCCAGCATGTAGAGATGGACACACAGTAGGAGGTGTAGAAATGTGTGTTGAACAAATGAATAAATGCTAATGAATTCAATACCAATACTTGTTGGTTGATGGATTAGGCCATTAGTCAAACATCACAATGCAGGCTGGTATTTGCAAATCCCTCTTTGATCCAGAAATTATCAAGAGTAGAGATGATTTTCTCTAATTAAGAGGACTTATTAGTGATATTATGTCCCTGGGAACTAATAGAGAAAAATTGGGCATTATTGCAAAATAGGCATCCTTTTAAACGAACTTATATAAAATTTTTGTTTTTGATTAATAATTATTTTGGTGTGTTTTTCCTTAAGAAGCCACGTATGAATTGCAGTGCAGCTTAGAGCACAATAATTCAGCAATATTAACTGCAGAGTTCTTTAATAAACTGATCCTCTCCCACTTGTACAAGCATATGATTTGAAAAAAATACACTTCTGTTGGTTTGTTTTGGAGAGATGTCACTTTGTTCACAAAGCTTTAAAGAAACACAGGCCAGTGCAGTAGTTCATGCCTGTAATCCCAACACTTTGGGAGGCCGAGGTGGGCAGATCATTTGAGTTCATGAGTTTGAGACCAGCCTGGCCAACATGGTGAAACCCTGTCTATACTAAAAAATACAAAAATTAGCCAGGCATGGTGGCATGCTTCTGTCATCCCAGCTAGCTACCTGGGAGGCCGAGGCAAGAGAATCGCTTGAACCTGGGAGGCAGAGGTTGTAGTGAGCCGAGATCGTGCCACTGCACTCTAACCTGGACTACAGAGTGAGACTCTGCCTCAAAAAAAAAAAAAAAAAAAAGAAAAGAAAAGAAAAAGAAACACAAGTAAATGTCTCGCATGTGCATTGTCTGTTTTTTCGGTTTTTGCTTTGACTTTTGCTTTTCAGTTCTGGGAGTACAAGTTGGTAAGTGAAACTTCATGTGACATTTCTAGGCTCTGAGACTATCTTCAAGAGCTGGTTACATTTGCGACTGCCAAAGTCTAAATGAGTGACTTTCAATGAGCAGGAATTGTTACTAACAGCCGAGTCAGGTACTTAGCGGCTCACATTGTCTAACTGTGGTAGAATTACAGAGCATATGGTGTATGATGCTTAACATGCAAACCCAAGCCTGCATAGGGAACATCCTCATAATGCCACTAGCAGTGTCCAAGACAGGCCTCCTCTTCTTGGGTGGGTTTCTGAGCTGCGTCTGAAGAGGACATTTCTGAAAGAAAGCAAACATAAGCCCTTCCCACTATCTCGAAATGACGGAAGGGACACCAGTGCCATTTGCACACTGGCTTCCCTTACAGATGCCAGCCAGGGCCGGATGGGCTCCTCTGCGGAGGTGATTAAGAGAAACCTTTGGCAGTTTGATTTTCAAGGCACTTGAGCACAAGGGCAGGGACAAAGGCACACACTTGTGGCTCTTTTATAGAAAGAATACTAAAATAATACAAGTAAATTGTGAGCCAAATAAAATCATAGCAAGGACTCTCAACAGGACTCCCCAAGTGAAAATGAAAGATGATCAGGAAGAGGCTGTATGTGTCAGTGATTAGATTCAATGAACCTGAACTGCAGCGATGCCTCTGACGGCTCCGACTGCAGGCCTGCCTCCTATCAGATGGAAGTGGCTCGTTCCAAGCACCGCGCAGTGCATTCCTGAGTATTGACTAAGGGATTTGTGCATGGGAGACCGGTTTCCCCACGGCAGCGCCTCTCCGCAAGCCTGGGCCTGGGGCCTGTCCGGACCTCCGTCCAGGCAGCGAAATCCCAAAAGTGTATGCAGTGATTTAAAGAGTAACTCCGCCTCCTGGACTTTATCTTGAAATCTGAGAGGTAGAGAAAGTTTCGTTCCTATGAATGTAGGCTAGGCAGAAGGAACTTACAGGAGCGCTCTTGGGAAACTGTTCTGAAAGCAGAACCACATCTGTGAATGTAGCTGGCTCATATTGCAATCATTTCCACCCAGGAATAGATCTGAGAGGCTGGCCTCTGTAGCGATGTAAAGTATCTCTTGTCGAAACCTACAGTTTTCTAAGTGATGTGGTGAGTTTATTTAAGGGTCTTGTTTTAGCTGATCAGCATTTTGAATGTACAAACACAGGCTGCCCTTCTTTTCTCTTAAATTACAACAATACCTAGTATCACCTGTTTCATACAGCAGGTACCCCGTAAATCTTGAGGAGAAGAAAGAAATGCAGTAGTGCAAAGGAAAGAAATGAGCATAAGAAAGGGAGGTGAGGATGGAAGCGGTTGCATTTAATGCAGTCACATATTCACAGAGTCACCGCATCAGAGAGGTCTCCCAGGACCACCCTGCATAAAATTACAGCCTCTGCCACCCTGCTTTTACTTTCTACCCCGCTACCTTGCTTCATCCTTCATAACATATTCTATATAATGTAGGAATCAATATTCATTTGCTTGTTTGGTTTTTGTCTATCTCCCACTTCTAGAATGTGAAGTTCCTAACAATGGGACTTACTTTTTTTTTTGAGATGCTCTGTCTCCAGGCTGGAGCGCGATCTCGGCTCACTGCAACCTCCACCTCCCAGGTTCAAGCGATTCTCCTGCCTCAGCCTCCCGAGTAGCTGGGACTACAGGCATGCACCACCATGTCCAGCTAATTTTTCTATTTTTAGTAGAGAGGGGGTTTCACCATATTGGCCAGGGTGGTCTTGATCTCTTGACCTTGTGATCTGCTTGCCTCGGCCTCCCAAAGTGCTGGGATTACAGGCGTGTGCCAGTGCGCCCAGCCAACGGGGCTTTTTTTGTTGCTGTTGTTCATTTGCTATAGCAGAAGCCAGAAGGGGTGCAGGAGTATACAGCATAGATAACATATCTGTGGCTTACGCATACTCCCCTGTTGTTCACATCCTGATGAAAAGCATGGGCTCCGGAGCTGGGATGCTTGGGCTGTGTTCAAATCCTGACTCTATCTGTCATTGCCTGCATGGCCTTGGGAAGTAACATAACATTCTTTTGTCTCATTTTTCTCGTCCTAACCATGGTGTAGTGATAGTAACTACTTCGTGAGGCTTTTCTAAGGATTAAGTGAGTGGACGCCTGTAAATGGCCTGGAATAGTGGCTGGTGTTAAAGAAGATTCCATTTGATGTGAACAGTTCCATGAATGTGTGTGTGCAATTGTAGATTTCACCATGTGAGAATAATTACTTGTGTTTGTATACAGACACACACACACACATTTTGATGTTTTAATCATGAGTGAAAATCAAGGAGGAATAAAAGTAGGAGAGAAGACATGAAGGCCAAAAAGAATGAAAACATAGTGATGAATGACCAGAGGGAAAATCAGAGTGAGGGGAAAGGACAGTGTCTTTAGATTTTGTTTAACAGAGAAGAAACTTTCATCTCTAAGGTGTTTGGGATTTTCCAGTGCTAAGGTTCACCACACAAGAAAAAAAATTAACTGTCCTGAATTAATATATATGCCTTTGTAATGATGTCTTTTTTTTTTTTTTTTTTTTTTTTTTTTGAGATGGAGTCTCACTATTTTTGCCCAGGCTGGAGTGCAGTGGCGCAATCTCAGCTCACTGCAACCTCCGCCTCCCGGGTTCAAGCGATTCTCCTGCCTCAGCCTCCCAAGTGGCTGGGATTACAGGCATGTGCCACTACGCCCAGCTAATTTTTGTATTTTTAGTAGAGATGGGGTTTCACCATGTTGCCCAGGCTGGTCCCAAACTCCTGAACTCGGGTGATCCACCTGCCTCAGGCTACCAAAGTGTTGTGATTACAGGTGTGAGCCGCTGCACCCAGCCTGTAATGATGTCTTTAAGCTAAGTTCTTGTTTATGTTTTATTTGAAAATGGATCCAAATTAAAAATGCCCACAGTTTGCCTCAAGCTAGTTGACAAAAGAAAGAAAGAGAGAAGGAGAGAGAGAAAGAAAGGGAGGGAGGGAAGGAAGGAAGGAAGGAGGGAAGGAGAGAAGGAAGGAAGGAAGGAAGGAAGGAAGAAGGAAGGGAGGGAGGGAGGGACGGACGGGGCAGGGGAAGGAAAGGGAAGGAAGAGAGGAAGGAAGGAAGGAAAAAGGGAAAGGAAGGAAAAAGGGAAGGGGAAGAGAGGGGAGGGGAAAAATCTGCTTGGTTGTAATACTTTCACTCCTAATTACAATAAAGAAAACCCCACACCTTCTACAACTAGAACATTAAATCATTTTTAGGACAGGCAATACAAATAAAATCTATTTTACCTTTTTTTAAAAAAAAAAAATGTTCTCTGTACTTTTGGGAAAAAAATTAAAGATACAGTTGGAGAAAAACATTCCAGGTCTTAAAAATATTTATCTTGCTGACACACAATTAGCATGGGGGCTCATGTCTTGTGTTTTACAGTTGTCAGCTAATTTTGGAAACTGGCAGAGGCTGCACAGAAATAGATGGTGTGCTCTTGCTTCAACACTTCCTAAAAAAAGAACTGCTCGCATAGTTCAGGAACGGGGAAGGACAGGAGATGACGAGGGAATGTTATTGCAGACAGCTGATAAAAGCTGGCATCACGCTTTGCACTGATGAATGCTCTACATATTTAAAATTAAAAGATTTTTTTTAAGGAATGCTAAATAATCTACCAAAACTGTGTCAGACACAGGGGACACTTGTCTGCTATCTTTTTCGGGATTTTTTTCCTTCAATAAAACTGAATTTATGCTGCAACTTCAAATTTGCGGAGAGCTTTCCTGTTGGTTCAGGCTGATGATCACACCAACGATGGTGTGGTGTTACTTTGACATCTGAGACACAGAGACCCTGAAGAGGTCAAATGAATTGCCCAAGGATATACAACTTATCAGAACCAGCACCTTCCATCACCTCATTCTACTTCTTAGTTGCTGGGACAGTTCTTTTTCTCTGAACATATAATTGCACTTTGTAGTTGTTTGCATCCTTGTTTTCATTCAATTTTTAGTGGTCTGGGCCAGGCATGATGGCTCACACCTATAATCCCAGCACTTTGGGAGGCCGAGGCGGGTGGATCACCTCAGGTCAGGAGTTGGAGACCAGCCTGACCAACATGGTGAAACCGCATCTCTACTAAAAATACAAAAAAAATTAGCAGGGTGTGGTGGCATGTGCCTGTAATCCCAGCTACTCGGGAGACTGAGGCAGAAGAAACACTTGATCCTGGGAGGCGGAGGTTGCAGTGAGCCAAGGTCACACCATTGCACTCCAGCGTGGGCGACAGAGTGAAACTTTATTTTAAAAAAAAAAAAAAAAAAGATTTTTTAGTGTTCTGCTTTTCACTTGAAATCAGATTATCTTGGTAATGATAACTAAGGAAAGGAAATTAGTACAATTAAACTCCAAATACTGCTATAACTATATCAGGCATTTTTTAAAAAATGAACTTAAGAGAGCAGAATTACCAGCCAGTAGAAAATGTCTATACACTCAAATTTATTAAGTGTTTGGTGTGTGCCAGGCACTGAGTATTCAACATCTTATATGAGCTGTGATCTTTGACTAAGAGTAGCCTTTTTTGTGGTTGTTTTTGAGATAAGATCTTGCTCTGTCACCCAGGCTGGAGAGCAGTAGAAGGATCACAGCTCACTGCATCCTTGAACTCCTGGGCTCAAGTGCTTCTCCCACCTCAGCCTCCAAAGTAGCTAGGATTATAGGTGCATGCAACCATGCCCACCTCATCTGTTTGTTTGTTTTTTCTGTTTTTGTTTTTGTTTTTGTTTTATAGGAAAGCAGTATTGCTATGTGGCCTAGACTGGTTTTGAACTCCTGGGCTCAAGCGATCCTCCTACCTCAGCCTCCCAAAGTGCCGGGATTATAGGTGTAAGCCACGGCACCCGGCCCTTAGGGGAGTTTTCAGTAGTAGATAAATGAAGAGTATTCATTACTTGGTGCCTTATACAGTTTCTTTTACTGGAATGTAAACACTTGGCAAGAAGGATCAGGATCTAAATTCATCTTAGTGCCTCTCAAAACATCCAGCATTGCCTGGGCTGAACGTAGATTAAGTGCTAATGAATATTTTGCATGAATAAATATTAGTCAGGAAATAAAGATGATTTACGCTTAGGAAGCAATGCTAATAATGGACATTGTGCCTATAAAAGGTCAATGAAAAATGCATGGTTTTTATGTCACCTGCTTTAAATCACCTCAGGTGGGTTATGACAGAGCATAATCTAGAAGCATGGGATATTCTGCTCAATTTATTTTCCTCAAGGGTTGCTTTACAAAAGGTATAAATTCATGAAAACATGTCACTAATTCAGATGACTGTTTAACAGTAGTAAACAGATAAAAACAAACAAATGGTCACCTGAAAAGCTCCAGTGTTTGTCGATTTGCTGGTCTCAAAAATGGTGACTGGATGATGACTCCTAGCTACATTACTGCAGTCAAATACAGTGGGGTGTTTTTGTCTGTTTCATTTTGTTAAAATTTGGAGCTACATGCACCAATGAAATCATCAGGTTTTCAGTAATCATGGACATCAAGTAATATCTGTAACTCTAATGTCAGTTTTTAGCACATGAGCGTGTAAAGCATAGTTTTCCCCGGCTGGGACTTAATACATGATGAACATGACTTTTCCCCAGCATCTATCTTTTGCTTTCAAGGTAGGGCCAACACCTTTGTCTTTGAATGTGTGATTCACTGAATAAAGTTCTGCATTGTCTTTTGTGCATAAATCCACCCATAGTCCACCATTTGGAATTTCTTTTGTTGTTGTTGTTGTTTTGAGACAGAGTTTTGCTCAGTTACCCGGAGTGGAGTGCAGTGGCGTGATCGCTGCTCACTGCAACCTCTGCCTCCCAGGTTCAAGCAATTCTCCTGCCTCAGCCTCCCGAGTAGCTGGGATTACAGGCGCGTGCCAGCACACCCGGCTAATTTTTGTATTTTTAGTACAGATGGGGTTTTACCACATTGGTCAGGCTGGTCTCGAACTCCTGGCCTCAAGTGATCCACCTGCCTCTGCCTCCCAAAGTGCTGGGATTACAGTCATGAGTCACTGCACCCAGCCTGGAATTTCCTTCTTCTTCTTCTTTTTTTTTTTTTTAAGGAAAAAGAACTTAGAGACATTTGTATCTAATTCAACATCAGTTTTTCTTAAGTGACTTGTCATTTTTTATCTTTTCAAAGTTTCTAACTTAGTTTTTACAGAAACAAGAATTTTTCCACACTTGTATTTCATCAATTTTACATCAGGCTTAATTAAATTTAAAAATTACAGTGATTGCCAGTACCATAAACAGGTTGGGGAACAAACACAGTATACTCTTGGTAAGCGTGGAGACTTAAGCAGCTGGAGCCAAAGCAAAGCAGGTGCTCTTAGAGGCCTCAGCCTCTGTGTTTTCCCTTGTGAGTGAAGGATGTTGGTCAATCCAGTAAGCTTTTGAAACAGAGGTCAATTATGGACATTTCTATTGCAGTGGATTGTTGTTTGTTTTGTTTTGTTTTTAAGAGACAGAATGTCACTCTGTTGCCCAGACTGGAGTGGACTGGTGTGGCACAATCATGGCTCACTGCAGCTGTGACCTCCTGGGCTCAAGCAATCCTCCCGCCTCAGCCTCCCAAGTAGCTAGGATTACAGGCAGGCACCATGATGAGCAGCTCATTTTTCAAATGTTTAGTAGAGACAGGGTCTCACTGTGTTGCCCTGGCTGGCCTCAAACTCCTGGGCTCAAGCCGTCCTCCTGCCTCAGCCTCCCAAAGTGCTAGGATCACATGTGTGAGCCGCTGTGCTTGGCCTTACTGCAGCGGTCTCAGTTGAAGACAGCTTTGTCACCAGTGGACATTTAGCATTGTCTGAGGACATGTTTGGGAGCTACAGTGGGGCTGGTGGGGAGCAGTACTACCGGCATCAGTGGGTAGATGACAGGGATGCCATTAAACATTCTACAATGTCCAAGATTAAACAACATCCAAAACAAAAGATTATTTTGCTCAAAATAATGTCAAGTTTGAGAAATGCTCCACTGTGATTTAAATGGATTTATTATAATGTATGAACAACTTCGTTTTAAAAGATCCCAGGAGACTCATCATATTAAAATATGTATCGTCTGGAAAGCAAAAATAAAAAGTTAAAAGATTAGACACAAAGAAATTCAGTTGTATCTTAACTCTGTGCTGTTAGTGTTACTACAATCAAGCTGTAAACATAAATCTCACCCTCAAGGTCAACGAGGCCAGAAAAGTTCATTCATTCCTGATAAGATGAATAAATATTTATTGAGTGTATATGTCGGTCTCAAATGACAGAAAGATAAAGGATAAAACAGACACTTAAAAGAGACTTCTATTGTAATAAATGTCATAAGGGAAGGCTAAATAGGGAGGGGTATTTCTTAGCTTGGGTATCCACAATTCCAGATTCTGTTTGGAAAGAGAATTTTTCATGCAGCCACTAAATTCTTCAAAGACATGAACATGTGTGACACATTCAGTGGCAGAGTGGACAATACCTTCAATTCTGGTTTTGCTGAAGGAATGGAAACTTTCTCCCCAAAGCCAATCTTTATAGCAATAAAAGCTGATTGTTTAATATTATATGATTACTTAGGAAAGAATATTTTTATAGAAACTAAACTTATTCATTTACTAAGGAAGTATGGCTCTGTTGGAACCACCACTTCTCCAAAGTGCTCAGGTATTATCACAGGGAGTAAATAGGAAGAGGGAGTTCTAATAGCTGGGAGGGTCAGGGAATGTCCTTTGTTGAGAAGGAAGTCCTCTGTTTGAATTGACACAGTAGGAAAAGAAAATGTTCCTTTAAAGCTGAAGCTTAACCAGGATTGACACATTGGATTCAGGAGGTCAATGAACCGTCTGCAAGTGTGTACCACAGTCTGTGTGTTTGTATATATTGTTATTTTCTCTATGTAAGGTGTTTGTGTCTTTAATGAGATTCTTAAAGGGGTTATATGACACTAAGGAGATTTTATACCATTGTTCCTAAGAATTCCACCTTTAATCCCTTGAAGTTGAGCCCTCCTCTCCTTTTAAAAGAGTTCAACCGAAAGCCTCCATCTCCTCCTTCTACTCATTGTTCCCTTCTCGTTCCAAGAATACATTTCTGATTGAAAGACAAGAGATGGGCCAGGTGCGGTGGCTCACACCTGTAATCCCAGCACTTTGGTAAGCTGAGGCAGGCAGATCACTTGAGGTCAGGAGGTCGAGACTAGCCTGGTCAACGTGG